>NC_000020.11:5520880-5672395 GCF_000001405.40 Homo sapiens
GATCCTGCTTACTTCTGTGAACCAACCAGTGATCTCTGGCTACAGCTCAGATGAAATAAGAGGCATGGGTAATGTAAAAATCTGGATCAATATTCTAATTCCGGGCACATATTGGAATCAGCTAGCAACCCCAGGCACCCAAGTCTTACCAGGTATGACAATAGCCATGAGCTACCTGGGCATGTTGGCAGCCTCAGGATTTTTTGAAGCTGTCCTCACCGACTTATTTCATTTGGACATCTCTACTTGTCTTAAAACCCAAGGAGCCATCTATATTTGTGGCCAATCAGTTCACCAATGCCTCCCCACTAACTGGAATGAAACTTGTACCATAGGCTATGTATCCCCAGACGCCTTCATAGTCCCTGGCAATCTCTCTCTTCCAGCACCAATCTACAGGCATCCTATCTTGCCCAAGGTGAAGAGGGCTATCCAATTAATTCTGCTTCTTGTGGAACATGGCATTATACCCTGTATGGAAATCAGAATTGCTGGAATCACAAAAGTCTCCTTGATCTATAGCCAACTCACAAAGGAAATAGCCGACAACATTGAGGCTAAAATTTTAACAACAGTGTAAGAACAAATGGACTCTTTAGCAGCTGTAGTCCTCCAAAATCTCCAAGGACTATGATATGTTAATGGAAGCACAGGGAGGAATTTGCTTAGCCTTAGATAACAAATGTTGCTTTTGGGTAAATGAATTGCCAAAAGTACAAGACAACATCAGACAACTCCTATACTGAGCCTCTAGTTGATGGGAACAAGCATCTCAGGGTTTGTTAGATTAGGAAGCAACATGGAAATGGTTCTCTGGGTTTTTCCCTTTTTAGGTCCACTTGTTAATCTCCTACTTTTGCTCCTTTTTGGTCCATGTCTTCTAAATCTAATCACCTGATTTGTCTCCTCTCACTTTGGGGCTGCCAAGCGCCAGATGATCCTTGGTGAGGGATACCATCTCCTCAATGATCAAGAGTCACCCTTCTACAGAAGATCAGTAGACTGCCCATCAGTGGGACACGGCAGAGGTGAATTCCCTGTCTCTGCTAGATCTGGCTGGATACTGTTTTCATCAGTCTATGGAGTCACCCTGCCCTGACAGCTAGCAAGAGGCCAAAACCCACAGAACAACCACCACCACCCCTCTGCCAGCAGGAAGCGGCTACAGAAGACTGACCTTCATCCATTTTTTCCAGAATTGGGTCTAGAATCTCGAGGGGGGAAATGTTACAGTAGGTAGTTAGACAGACATGAGCAGGGAAGGAGAGGCCCCCAACACCACCAGGACTGTCAGACAACCATCAGGTGATGGTTAGGTGGTTGTTAAACTGTCTCTCTAAAATACTAATTGGTCACAGCTGGCACAAGGGAACGGCCGTCTCCCAATAGATACAAAACACCTGAAGCTGGTGATTAGCTGCATTAGCAGTTTCCTGATAAGATCTCAGGAGTTGGGTGAATGAGCTCAAGCATGCCTACTAAGAGGCAAAATGGCAGAGTTTAACTGGTATATGACCTTCCTCTAGGAACATTCCACTGGTAAGTGAAAAACACTTCAAGTGAGCATGCATACAACTTCAGTAAACACACTGTGCATGCAGACCCTCCCAAGTGCTGGTAGGCCACTCTGCATGGGGATATCCCACCCCAAGGGAAGAATAAGGGAAAGAGAGACACAACCCTCCAGAATCATGCCAATGTACAAAACCCCAAGTCAAAGGGCAATCTCTCAAGTTTCCTGCTTGGCCCTTTTCCAAGTGTACTTTACTTCCTTTCATCCCGCTCTAAAACTTTTTAATAGACTTTCACTCCTGCTCTAAAACTTGCCTTGGTTGCTCACTCTGCCTTCTGCCACTCAGATGAATTCCTTCCATCAAGGAGGCAGGAATTTAGTTGCTGCAGATCCATATGGATTCACCGCTGGTAACAGCATCATGAAAGATAGTCATTTTGATGGAGGAGGAAGGAGAGATGTATTCCTATCAATAGCCCTACAGTTACCAGTCACTGAGTAAAAAGTGAAGAGTTAATATTAATGCAAGAATCCAAAGTATTTGCAAGGAAGTAGAATAGGAGGAACCTGTTTTCACTGGGATGGGGGTGGCGGGCAAATGTCCAAATTAGTATGGCCACTTTGGAAAACAGTTTGGCCTTATCCAATAAAGTTGAACATGCAACTCTTGCCCTGCAATTCCACTACTACATAGCACTTTGCGCATGTGTCCTGGAAGACAGGTAAATATTGATCAAGGCAGCAAAACTGAAAGCAATCCAAATGTACATTAACAGAAGAATGGAGAAATGATATGCGCTACAGCCACTACAGTGGAATACTGCACAGGCTCCATGCTCCAACATGCAGAAAAGTCACAAACAAGGTGTGGAGATCCAGAAGAACAGTAGGGCATAAAAAGCTTGCAAAACTATTCCATGTAATCTGTGCAAATACAAAGAATTGAAGCAGACTACAAAGAAAGGCAATTGATTGAAAAACATAAAATTCTGGATAGTGGTTGCCAAGGTGGGTACAGAGAGGTCTGCAAAAATAATCACAGAAGTTTGTTTCTGGAGCTGAGCAATGGCTACACTGGGATGAGTTCTGGAGTTAGTTCTCTTTCTGCATAACATATATGTGTTTATATGTACTTTCATGTTGGCTACTGTATTTCTTTTTTTTTTTAGAGACAAGGTTTTTCTCTCCATCGCCCAGGCTGGAGTGCAGTGGTGCTATCACAATTCACTGCAGCGTTGACCTTCCGGACCCAAGTGATCCTCTCACCTCAACATTCCAAGTAGCTGGTACCACAGGTATGTGCCACCATACGCGACTCATTTCAATTTTTTTTTTTTTTTTTTTTGAGACAGAGTCTCACTCTGTTGCCCAGGCTGGAGTGCAATGGCATGATCTCAGCTCACTGCAACCTCCACCTCCCAGGTTCAAGTAATTCTCCTGCCTCAGCCTCCTGAGTAGCTGGGATTACAGGTGCGTGCCACCACGACCAGCTAATTTTTGTATTTTTTAGTAGAGACAGGTTTTCACCATGTTGATCATGCTGGTCTTGAACTCCTGACCTTGTGATCCGCCTGCCTTGGTCTTCCAAAATGCTGGGATTACAGGCGTGAGCCATCGCACCTGGCCTAATTTTTGTATTGTTAATAGAGATGGGGTTTCACCATGTTGGCCAGGCTTGACTCGAACTCTTGGCCTCAAGTGATCCATTTGCCTTGGCCTCCCAAAGCGCTGGGATTACAGGCATGAGCCACCATGCCCAGCCTCATTTTTTTTTAACCTTTATTTTGTAGAGACAGGGTCTCCCTATGTTGCCCAGGCTGGTCTCAAACTTTTGGGCTCAAGTGATCCTCCTGCTTCAGTCTCCTGAATAGCTAGGACTCCAGGCATGCACCACCATAACTGGCTACTTTTATTTTTTGGAGAGATGAGGGTCTTGCTCTATTGCCCAGGCTGTTCTCAAACTCCTGGTCTCAAGTAATCCTCCTGCCTCGGCCTCCCAAAGTACTGGGATTACAGGTGTAAGCCACTTCTCCCAGTCCTATATTTTATTTTTTTTTTAATGGAGAAAAAAACTCACAGACAGAGACCTTGGCTTCCCATGATAATTCATCAGAACCTGGACCACAGTGCTTCTTCATCTTTCTCTAGACAAGCTTTCTGCTAAAATCAACTTAGGAAAAACTTGCCACATTCAGACATAAAAGTTAGCAAGAAAGAATGACCTGGAGAGAAGTACAAAAATCATACAAAAAGAAGAATTGAAAAGAAAAGAAAAAGCAAAGCAAGGCTTATGGAGAACATTCACCAGAAAAGCACTGCCATAGCCTTGACAACATGGCAAAACCCCATCTCTACAGAAAATACAAAAATTAGCCAGGTGTAGTGGTGCATGCCTGTGGTCCCAGCTACTCGGGAGGCCTGAGCCCAGGAGGCAGAGGTTGCAGTCAGCCAAGATCATGCCACTGTGCTCCAGCCTGGGGCAACAGAGCAAGACCCTGTCAAAAAAAAAAAGAAAAAAGAAAAGAAAAGAAAGAGAGGAAGGGAGGGAGGAAAGAAGGAAGGAAGGAAGGAAGGAAGGAAGGAAGGAAGGAAGGAAGGAAGGAAAAGCATTGCCTTAGAGCAAAGACAACTGTGACCCGAATTGTTGCAACAAATTATGATGTAATAATCCTGAGATCTAGCCACTTACAGAACAGAAGGGAAGACAGCAGGCTGCCTTGAAATCGAGCTGGCAGATGTGGGTCATTGGGGGATGGGTATAATATGAGAGAAGCTCCTTGTGGCTCAGCTCAGAAAGGTTTGCATGTGTAATACCAATTATTCCGGAGGCTGAAGCAGGAGCCTCGCTTGAGCCCAGGAGTTTGAGGCTAGCCTGGGTAACACAATGACAGCACCCCTTAAAAAAAATGGCTGGGCGCAGTGGCTCACACCTGTAATCCCAGCACTTTGGGAGGCTGAGGCGGGCAGATCACCTGAGGTCAGGAGTTCGAGACCAGTCTGGCCAACATGGTGAAACCCCGTCTCTACTAAAAATACAAAAATTAGCTGGGCGTGGTGGTGCACTCCCAGCTACTCGGGCGGCTGAGGCAGGAGAATAGCTTGAACCTGGGAGATGGAGGTTGTGGTAAGCTGATATTGCACCACTGCACTCCAGCCTAGGCAACAGATCAAGACTCTGTCTCAAAAAAAAAAAAAAAAAAATGAGACAGAGAGGAGAAAATGGCATCCTGGCCGGGCGCGGTGGCTCATGCCTATAATCCCAGCACTTTTGGAGGCCGAGGCGGATCACCTGAGGTCGAGAGTTCGAGACCAGCCTGACCAACATGGAGAAAACCCATCTCTACTAAAAGTACACAATTAGCTGGGCGTGGTGGCGTATGCCTGTAATCCCAGCTACTCAGGAGGCTGAAGCAGGAGAATCGCTTGAACCTGGGAGGCGGTGGTTGCAGTGAGCTGAGATCGCTCCATCGCACTCCAGCCTGGGCAACAAGAGTGAAACTCTGTCTCAAAAAAGAAAAGAAAAGAAAAGAAAAGAAAAGAAAAGAAAATGGCATCCTAAGGGGCAGGTACTGGGGACAGGCAAGGGGAGGAATTTGCCGTTTCCTGAAATAAAACCTCTTAGAAGTTGACTGTTCAATTCATGCAAAATCTGAATAAGATATCAAAATGATAGAAAGGAACCTCTTTCCTGATCATCACCCAATGCCTGTCACACAGCACCCGGTACTGAGAGACGCTCCTCCCCCTTGTCCTGCTCCCTTCTAGGACACCCCACCAGCACAAAGTTTTCCATTGTCAAGGCCCATGTGTGTCTTCCTGGGGCTGATCCTAGTGTTAGAATCAAGGATACAGGAACGTTCTCAGCCCCCTTAGCCATGACTCCACCTGCTGTCCTCCCAGTGTCCTATATTCCTCAGGCTCAGAGCCCCAGGCCCCAGCACCTCACCTTTCTTTGTTGAAGTCCCCAAGGCCTGACCATTCACCTGGGGACTCTGCTCTCTCTGTTCCTGCTCATCACATCTGGGCTGTCAACCTGTGGCCGTGTTACCCAATCTGAGCCTCAGGTTTGTCTCTTGTGCAAACTTAGGACAGGGAATAGAATAGGCTCATGATGGACAGGCGGAGGTGAGATGGGGTGAGAGAAACGCAAGAGCCAAAAGGAGGAAAAAACTCAACGAAGGGGTTCCTCTGAGACTGAGAGGTAGGCAAAGGCAGGTTGAGAGTCAGTTCCCGGACTCAAGTACCTGAGGGAAGGGCAGTGAAGTCATGAAGATCCCTTTGTGACACCAACATACCAGGAGGTAAAGCCAGAGACTGGCCAGGCAGGCTCAGAAAGGAATAAAAGGCCAGTTGCTTGGCAACCAAACTAGAACAGCAACAGAAAGATCGGAGGAAAATCTCCAAAGCACTTAGAAACTAGCCAATGTATGCTAAATAATCCATGGATCAAAGAGGAAGTCTCAAAGGAAATTTTTAAAATAGAATAAAACGAATGAAACTGAAAACACAACATACCAAAATTTGTGAGAACAGTTAAAGCAAGGCTAAGAGGAAAATTTGTAGCACTAAATGCATACCTCAGAAAAGAGGAAAAGTCTCAAATGAAAAACTTAAACTCTCCTTCAAGAACTTAGAAAAACGACCAAATACAGTGGCTCATGCCTGTAATCCCAGAACTTTGGAAGGCTGAGGCAGGAGAATCACTTGAGCCCAGGAGTTTAAGACCAGCCTGGGCAACACAGTGAGATCTCATCAATATTTATGTTATTTAAAAAAAAGAAGAACTTAAAAAAAGAGAGCAAAATAAGCCTAAAACCAGCACAAGAAAGGAAATAATAAAGAGCAGAAATCAATGAAATGAAAAACAGAATAACATTAGAAAAAGTTGGTGGAGTCAAGAGTGTGTTCTTTGAAAAGATCTGTAAAACTGACCAAGCTCTGACAAGACTGACGAAGAAAAAAATTACTAATATCGCTTATAGATTTTAGAAATTATAGTACACAGTTACCAATATCAGGAGTGAAACAGAGGAAATCACTACAGACGCTGCGGACATCAAAAGGATAACGAAATGCTACAAACAACTCTGCATACATAAATTTGATAACTTAGATTAAATGGACCAATTCCTTGTAAAGTACAAACTACCGCAACTCACCTAATTGAAATAGGTAATTTGGATAGCTGCATAACTATTAGAAAATTGAATTTTTAGTTAACTTCCTGAAAAAGAAATCTCCAACCCAGATTGTTTCACTGGAGAATTCTATTAAAGATTTAAAGGGGAGTTAAGACCAACTCTACAGAAAATAGAAGGAAAAGGAACCCTTCCCAACTCATTCCAGAAAGCAGGTATTACCCTCATACCAAAGCCAGACAAAAACAGTGTAAAAAGACCGGGCACAGTGGCTCACGCCTGTAATCCCAGTACTTTGGGAGGCTGAGGCGGGTGGATCACCTGAGGTCAGGAGTTGGTGACCAGCTTTGCCAACATGGTGAAACCCTGTCTCTACTAAAAAGACAAAATTAGCTGGGCATGGTGGCACCTGCCTGTAATCCCATCTACTTGGGAGGCTGAGGCAGGAGAATCGCTTGAACTTGGGAGGAGGAGGTTGCAGTGAACTGAGCCGAGATTGTGCCACTGCTCTCCAGCCTGGGTGACAGAGCAAGACTCCATCTCAAAACAACAACAACAAAATTAAACATGCAGCCGAGCACAGTGGCTCATGCCTGTAATCCCAGCACTTTCGGAGGCCAAGGTGGGAGTATTGTTTAAGCCCAGGAGTTTGAGACCAGCCTGGGTAACATTGGGAGACCCCCTATCTCTACAAAAACTTTTAAAAATAAGCCAGGTGTGGTGGCCTCCCAGCTGCTCTGGAGGCTGAGGAAGGAGGATTACTTGAGCCCACGAATTAGAGACAACCGTGAGCTATGATCATGTCACTGCACTCCAGCCTGGGCAACAAAGCAAGAACCCATCTCAGAAAGAAAAAAAAAAAAATAAAAGCTAAACATGCAACTACCATATGACCTAATACTTAACTGTTCTCGGAATTAGCCAACAGAAATGAGAACTTAGTTCACACGAAAGCCCGTAGACAAGTGTTTATAGCTGATTTATGCATAATAGTCCCAAACTGGACACAACCCCAATGCCCTTCAGTGTGTGAATGTCCAGAGCAGCCTGGGGACTGACACTGCCACGCTCTTACTTGGAATGTGTGTAGCTTTCCAGAGAATGAGTTAAGGTGTGTGTTGAGGGGCTGGGAGCGAGCAGTGCTGGCACACCAGCAGAACTGAGGAGTTCAGTCTAGAGTTGGTACATCTTGAGCTGAATCTCTAAGGCCTTCAGTTTCCTAGATCTGCTTCCCTCGGAAGCACTTAGGAAACAGGGCCTCCCTCCACAGGACAGCCCCCCGGGTCTGCAAAGGGGCATGTGTTTCCTCCTTAGGCACGGATGTGCCTTGTCCTCTCTTCTCCCACACTTAGAGTAACCTGTGAATAATTTGATGGGTGAAATAACCCACTGTCTGGGACACCATTTTTGGTGTGGCTTTATGGGTGCCTATGTACCGTGTATATGTATGTAACATGTAACCCTGCTCAAAAAGGTTAGAACTCACCCAGTCAGCTAGCGACTCCAGAATAATCAGATACATGTTCCCCCAAGGTACCACAAGATGGCAGCACATGCACACAGCATTTCAAGCTCCTGCACACTGAGATGACAGCAATTAATCTGCCCTCTAATAATGCCTCTGCCATCCTGGAAAGCCCTACACTTAAACGGTCATGATGCCTGTTTCTATGATGATGTGTTGCAAACACACGCAGCATTTCTGAGGTAGATGAAGAGATTCAAAGGGTAACAGGAGATTATGTAGTTCAGAATTCTTCACCTTTTTTTAAAAAAAATATTTATTTATTTATTTATTTATTTTTAATAGAGACAGGGTCTCACTATGTTGCCCAGGCTAGTCTTGAATTCCTGGGCTCAAGCGATCCTCCCGCCTCGGCCTCCCAAAGGGCCGGGATCACAGGCGTGAGCCACTGAGTGTGGCCAGAATTCTTCACCTTTTGGTGCAGAGTGTGTATGTCGCACCTGAAGCCAGAAGTCAACGATACTCGATGAAAGGGTTTGTTCAGCGCAGATGACCTACTTGGGTTCATGGCTTGCATGTGTTATAATTGCTGCTGTTTATTTCCTGAAAACTTAGACGATTTGGGGCACATTATCGATGCCTTACAGGCATGGTCGCATTAAACTTTACTGCAGCCATCTGTCATAGTGATTATTATCCTCATTTTACAGATGGGGAAAGAAAGAATTAGACCTTCAGGCACCTTGGTAATGGCACGCACAGCGAGTAGAGGCAGAGAGAACCTGCTTCCCTGACGGCCCACACTCCCCCGGCACACAAGGCTCCCTCTAGGTGGCGCGCGCGTCTCAGCTTCTACTGCGGAAGTCTCGGTTATGTGATTATGTATACGCTCAATCCTACACCAATTGAGAATGGCCCTTAGCTTGGAATTAGTAAGAACAGTAATTAGCAATTTATTGTCAGAAAAAAGTTCATAAGATTATCGGCCGCAGTCTCTTTGCTGCACATCTTTCTCATCTTGACAGGACAGCCACAGGGAATCCAGGTCTTCTCCACCACCCCAGGCTCAGCAGTTCATGCTTACCCACCCAGCTCAGGCACAGATGCGACATTCAGCTTAGCAACATTCAGCTTAGGATCGGGTAAACAGGCAGAGCTTTCTCTCTCTCTTTTTTTTTTTTTTTTGAGGCAGAGTCTCTCTCTTATTGCCCAGGCTGGAGTGTAATGGTGCGATCTCGGCTCACCACAACCTCCATCTCCCGCGTTCAAGCGATTCTCCTGTCTCAGCCTCCCGAGTAGCTGGGATTACAGTTATGCACCACCACACCTGGCTAATTTTGTATTTTTAGTGGAGATGGGGTTTCTCCATGGTCAGGCTGGTCTCGAACTCCAGACCTCAGGTGATCCACCGGCCTCGGCCTCCCAAAGTGCTGGGATTACAAGCATGAGCCACTGCGCCTGGCCTTTTTTTCTTTCTTTCTTTTTAATGTGGAAAATTCCAAATCCTATCAGAGCATATTTGGCATGTGATTTTTTTTTTTTTTTTTTTTTTTTTTGAGACAGGGACTCACTCTGTCGCCCAGGCTGGAGTGCAGTGGCACAATCACGGATCACTGGAGCATCAAACTCCTGGGCTCAAGCGATCCTTCCACCTCAGCCTCCTGATTACCTAAGACTATAGGCAAGCACCACCACAGCCCCTAGTTTTTATTTTTATTTTTTATTTATTTATTTTTTTGTAGAGACAGAGTCTCGCTTTGTTGCCCAGACTGGTCTTGAACTTCTGGCCTCAGGTGACCCTCTGGGCCTCCCAAAGCACTGGGTTTACAAGCATGAGCCACCATGCCAGGCCTAACATCTCTAATTTTTTAAAATTGTTTTTAACATAATGAGACCGAGCTTCACCATGTTGTCTAGACTGTTCTCAAACTCCTGGGCTCAAATGATCCACCCACCTTGGCCTCCCAAAGTGCTAGGGTTACAGGTGTGAGCCACCGTGCCCAGCCAGCATCTCTAATTTTTGACAAGCAGACTTTTGATATGTGATTTACCTAAGTTGTGTAAAGTTATATTCAACGTTATCTGCCTTTTACAAATCAGGAAAACAGGGTATCATTAACTTTCCTAAGTGATATATTCAGGGGGAAAATGAATTTAGCAAAGTGGAGGTCTTTTGTGTCCTTTTACAGATAGTAAAATAGCATCTAGGAGAATGGGAGGTTGAAGGGAACTGTCATAGATTTGGGGTCAACTGAGGCCAGTTAGTGGCCATGACCATGAGGGACCTTAGGTGCTGCTTGCTTTCCCCAGCCAGGTTCAGCTGTGTGGGTGCAGATTCAGACTTGGAGGTGAGATGAAAATAATAAGAGGGATGTGATGGAGCAAGACAGGGCAAGGGCCTTGAGCACACACAAGGAAGAGATTCCAGCAGCTGACAGTCTCATTACAGCTGGCAGGGCAGTCAGTGAGAGCATGAGATTAGGTGGATCATGAGCAGAGAAGCTGGGATGGATGCACTGGTGGCCTCAGCACAGGGAGGGTGCCAGGGGGAGTGAACAGTGGAGGGGAATGGGACTCATGTCATTTCCGTTATGGAAAGGGTGTCGCTATTTGATAGGAGAGCTCTGGGATATGACCATGGGAATGAAAGGCTGGGGAGATGACAGGATCACTGGCAGGAAACTGAGAGGCCAGTATTTTGGAAATATTATTTACAAAGCTACTGATATCACCAAGGACAGGAAAGTGTTAGAGAAAGTGGCAATGATTCAGAAAGTGAAATCTCCAAGGAAGAATGTTTGTACCCAGGCTTTGGTAGATGAAGGTAACCACAGGGTGTGGGAGAAACAGTTTGTTATGGGAAGGAGGAAGAATGTTCCAGGAAAGCAGCAATGACTGGCAGAAAAGACACTCACCCCACCCACCCCACCCTCAAGCCCACAGATACTCAAAAAGCACAGGGAAGAAAACATTCCCGTTTTGAGAGAGCAGTAGGGGAAGTGTGGTTTCACACAGAGCTGCAAAGTCCATTGTGGCAGCCACCAACCACATGTGGCTACCAAGCTCTTGAAATGCGGCTCCTGTGATCAGGGACTGAATTTTTAATTGAATTTAATTCAAATTAACTAGAAACTGAGGCAGTAGAAAATATTTTTCTGTTAATCACAGCTTTATTGGTTTGGTAGGACTTCATTTCACTTTAACCATTGAAAAGCCAAACTGGCCAGGTGCAGTGGCTCACGCCTGTAATCCCAACACTTTGGGAAGCCAAGGCAGGAGGATCACTTGAGGCCAGGAGTTCAAGACCAGCCTGGACAACATAGCAAGATCCCATATCTTAAAAAAAAAAAATTAGGCCCGGTGCGGTGGCTCACACTTGTAATGTCAGCACTTTGGGAGGCCAAGTCAGGCGGATCAGAGTTCAAGACCAGCCTGGCCAACATGGTGAAACCCCATCTCTACTAAAAATACAAAAATTAGCCAGATGCAGTGGCACGTGCCTATAATCCCAGCTACCCGGGAGGCAGAGGTTGTGGTGAGCCAGCATGGCGCCACTGCACTCCAGACTGGGCTACATAGTGAGACCCCATCTCAAAAATAAATAAATAAATAAATAAAATAAAACTAATAATAATAAATAAATAATTAGTTGGGCATGGTGGCATGCTTCTGTAGTCCCAGCTACTCAGGAGGCCGAGGCAGAAGGATCCCTTGAGCCCAGTAGATCGAGGCTACAGTGAGCTATGACCATGCTACTGCACTCTTGCCTTGGTGACAGAGCAGACTCTGTCTCTAAAAAAAAAAAAAAAAAAAAGAAGGGGTCTTTTCCATTCTGTCTTCCTTCCACCAGAGACCTACACACCACCATTTGTGCTGCCACCATGTCTCTAGTGATCCCTGAGAAGTCCCAGCATATTTTGTGAGTACTCAACACCAACATTGATGGGCATCGGAAAATAGCTTTTGCCATCATTGCCATCAAGGGCGTGTGTTGAAGATACGCTCCTGTGGTGTTGAGGAAAGCTGACATTGACCTCACTGAGAGGCCAGGAGAACTCACTGAGCATAAGGTGGATGTGTGATCACCACTATGCAGAATCCATGCCAGCCCAAGATCCCAGACTGGTTCTCAAACAGACAGAAAGATATAAAGGACGGAAAATATAGCCAGGACCTGGCCAATGGTCTGGATAACAACCTCTGTGAGAACCTGGAGCAACTGAAGAAGATTTGAGCCCAGAGAGGGCTATGCCACTTCTGGGGCCTTCATGTCCCAGGCCAGCACAGCAAGACCACTGGCCGCTGTGGCCATACCATGGGTGTATCTAAGAAGAAATAAGTTTGTAGGCCTTGTTTGTTAATAGTTTATATACCTAAACAAAATAAAATAAAAATTTAAAAATTAAAAAAAAGTCAAACTATCATGTGCTCTACACATAAAATACACACCAGATTTTAAAGACAGTATGGAAGAAAAAAGATGTAAAATACCTTTTAACATTTCTATATTTTCTGCATGTTGCAGTGTTTTGGGTTATATAAAATATGTTTTTTTGTGTTGGATTTATTGGGCTACATAAAATATATAGTTGAAATTAATTTCACCTGGTTCTTTTTACTTATTTTAATAGGGCTACTAGAAAATTTAGCTGGGTGAGGTGGTTCACACCTGTAATCCCAGCACTTTGGGAGGCCAAGGTGAGTGGATTGTTTGAGCTCAGGAATTCGAGAGTACCGTGGGCAACATGGTGAGATCTTATTTCTACAAAAAAATACAAAATTAGCTGGGCATGATGGCAAGTACCTGTAGTCCCAGCTACTCAGGAGGCTGAAGTGGGAGAATCACCTGAGCCTGGGAAGTTGGGGCTACAGTGAGCTGTGATCGTGTCACTGCCACAAAACAAACAAACAAAAAGAAAAGTTAGAATACATCTAGGGTTGCATTATGTTTCTATTGGGCAGTGCTAGCCTAGAGAAAGAAGATGAAGGGAATGTGTAGAGAGGAGAGGTGGATGAGGACATTTAGCTGATAATTCACCAAGCAGCACAGAGGAAAAGCTGCAGGGGATGGTGAGAGCTGGAAGAAGGGCTCAGAGAGGCAGAAGCACAATTGTATGGGACAAGTGTCTCAGGGCTGAGGGATCTCCAGGGAGTCCTGGGGTTTTCGTGGTGCCTGGAATAAGCAGAGATCAGAGTTATAAAGAAGTTAAGTCCTGATTTTCTCCGTGGTGACCAAGTAGTGACCAGAAGCAGGGAGGAGGTCCAGTTCTGGCCAGAGATTCCAATTCATGCTGGAGAAAAGAAATATTTTGAAAGAAGCACCCTACAGGATTTGCTAATGAATCGGAGGTTGGGAATTAAAGTAAAAGAATCAAGGGTGGGCCGGGTGCAGTGGCTCATGCCTGTAATCCCAGCACTTTGGGAGGACGAGGCATGCAGATCACTTGAGGTCAGGAGTTCGAGGCCAGCCTGGCCAACATGACGAAACCCTGTCTTTACTAAATATACACAAATTAGCCAGGCGTGGTGGCACTCGCCTGTAATCCCAGCTACTCGGGAGGCTGAGGCAGGAGAATCGCTTGAATCCAGGAGGCGGAGGTTGCAGTGAGCCAAGATCGTGCCACTGCACTCCAGACTGGGTGACAGAGCAAGACTCTGTCTCAAAAAAAAAAAAAAAAAAAAAAAGAAGCAAAGGTGACTAAAGATTTGACCTGAGAAACTGGAAGGATGGAGCGCCTGTTATGTGGAAGACCGCAAGTAAAATGTTTGAGAAGAAGGGGTTGCACATGAGTTCATACTGGGATATGTTAAGTTTGAGAGACCTGCTAGACCACCTGCTAGATTCTGAGTAGGCAGTTGTCTAATAGGGATCTGCAGTTCACAGGAGAGATGAGGCTGCAGGTATAAATCTGAGGGTCTATACCACATAGATGGTATTTAAAGCTATGCAACTTGACTTCTGAAATTAAAAGAATTATAGATCAATCCACAGTCATCTCCCTGTCGCTTGCTGAATAACAAAGGCATAACTAACAGCTAATTGATTCTTAAGGGTGCATTTTTTTGCAGATGTATATTTCTATAGACATTTGGCTCAATCTAATATTACAGTCAATGTGTATGCCCTAGACAAATACCAGCTGACAGAGTATAAGAATTCAGAAGCCAGACTGGGGTTTCTACATTCCATAATGTGGAAATCCTATAGCAGCTACTCATCAAAAGCTTTCTACCCTCTGCTCACAAGTTGTTCTTGCCTCATTGCAGACATTTCCCTACATACCTAGAATTTTGTTTACGATGAACAGAATGTTGGGTAAGAGTCTCTTGAGCTGAAACAGTTACACCCCCGCAGCTGGGAAAAGCTATTCCCTCTGCATTAGGCCAACGGGTGAGTAAGCAATTCTCTCATCTAGACCCACAGCATAGAGAACCCTGTACAGAAATTACCCAACAACATACACTGAAAAAATAAAAAGGTAGTGGGGGGAAATTGTGTCAAATGAATCCTTCTTCTCCTTTGTAGCTCCTTGGTTAGCTAAGAAAACACGAATAAACTCTTCATTACCACTGTTTAACCCTGGACTGGTTCTGCTTTCCACTTCCCTCAGGAAGCCCACACCTCCTGATACAACCCATACCACGGTTGCCTTCCCCTCCTGGATGTCACAGAGAAGGATTTAAAAATGACTCCCGGCCAGCATGGTGTCTCATGCTCAGCACATTGGGAGGCCTAGACGGGAAGATTGCTTGAGGGCAGCAGTTCAAGGCAAGCCTGGGCAACATAGGGAGACCCTGTCCCTATTATTTTTTTTTTTGATGTTAAAAAAAATTTAATTTAATTAAATAAAAATGGTTCCCAAGTCAAAGAGAATAAAGAACCACAGAAGTTAGGTGTTAGATGGTCATCACTGAATTACTGATTTTACTGACAAGGAAATTGAAACCCAGAGAATTGAACTAACTTGCTCAAGCTCAAAACTGGTTAGGAGCAGATTCAGAACCAGTGCCCTGGCGCTCCCCTACTTTTTTTTTTTTTTTTTTTTGCTTTCTCTTTTAACTTTTTGTTAGGGAAAATTTTAAACACATGCAAAGGTAGGCAGAATAGATACTCATCACTCAGCTACAATTATAACAATTACCAACAAGTTGCCAGAATCCTTTTATCTATCCTCTCTTTTTTGTACCGGATTGTTTTAAAGCAAATCCAAGATACTTGAACTTCTATTAAATGGGATGGAAACAAATAAAAGGCAAACACTTTTTAAAATCCAAGATACTACATCATTTCTCTTGTAAATACTTTAGCATGCTTCTCTAACTGATAAGAATATTTTAAAAACACATGCCATCAAATACCCAATAAAGCTAACACCCAATAAAGCTAACAACAATCCCTTTAATATCACCTACTATCTGTCCATATATATATATTTTTTTTCTTTTTTGAGACGGAGTCTCGCTCTGTCGCCGAGGCTGGAGTGCCATGGTGCGATCTTAGCTAACTGCAACCTCTGCCTCCCGGGTTCAAGAGATTCTCCTGCCTCAGCCTCCTGGGTTCAAGCAATTCTCCTGCCTCAGCCTCCCAAGTAGCTGGAACTACAGGTGCATACCACCATGCCTGGCTAATTTTTTGTACTTTGAGTAGAGATGGGGTTTCACCGTGTTAGCCAGGATGCATATTTATTTATCTGATTATCTCAGGGTATCTTTTTACAATTGGCTTGTTTGAATCAGGATTAGAAAGGTCCGTAGGTTGCATTTGGTTATTGTATCTCTTAAGTCTCTTTTATTCCATAGCAGTCTTACATCTCTTTTTGTTTCAATGCCATTGCTTTTTTGGAGAGGATGAATCAATTACCTTCTAGAATATTCCGTGTTCTGAGTTTGGCTTTTTGCTCCCTATGGTGTCATCTGCATCCTATAGTACTCTGTCCCCTGTATTCCCTGTACATTGGAAAGTCAGATCTAAAGCCTTGTTCAGATTCAGCTTTCTAGGGAAGAAGAATTGATAAGAGATATTGTGCTTTTGCTATGGCTACCCATCTGGATGGCTCATTGCTATGTTTGGTGATGCTAGGGCCAAATGCTCAGCAGGTTCAGGTGTGGTGAGCCTGATCTCTTCATCATAAAGTTCCCTGTAAACCTTTCACATCGTGGTTCTAGCATCTCCTGATGATCATTATTTACATTCATTGTTTCATTCATGCCTGCAAGATGATTTTTTTTAAAAATTCTATCATTCCTTTTGCTTCTATTATAGAATTCTTCTATAAAGGAAAACTTTTCCTTATCACCGACTTGGTGTTTTTGAAATACAGCTGATGCGGGGCACAGTGGCTCATGCCTGTAATCCCAGTACTTTGGGAGGTCAAGGTGGGTGGATCGCTTTGAGTCCAGGAGTTCGAGATCAGCCTGGGCAATATGTCAAAACCCCATCTCTACAAAAAAATTACAAAAGGTAGCCAGGCCTGGTGGTGCATGCCTGTAATCCCAGTTAGTCAGGAGGCTGCGGTGGGAGGATCACCTGAGCCTGTGAAGTCAAGGCTGCAGTGAGCCATGATTGCACCACTGCACTCCAGGTTGGTCAACAGAATGCGTCCCTGAAGAAAGGAAAGAAAGAGAAGAAAGATGAAAGAAGGGAAGGGAAGGGGGAAGGAAGGAAGGAAAAAAGGGAAGGAAGGGAGAGAGAGGGAGGAAAGAAGCAAGGGAGCTAATATAGAAAGGTAGGATAAATGCTTGATTCTGTCCCTTTATTTCTCAATTGTCAAAGAACTGACCTATTCCCTGGAAAATTCTAGTGGTGACAAATGCGGGGGGTCTTGCTGTTGCTTCATTTTGTAATTTTGTCATTATGATATGTTTCAGTCTATTGTAAACATCTGTTTTGGTGCTAAAACTTGTCCCATCATAGGTGAGTCGGTTCTGGGTTCCTTTGACTTCATCCTATTAGTGTTTGATACCTTCCTTGCTTTCGACATGATAAGCGGTCCAGTGCTCACCTCATTCATGCCCTGCCCTAGACCTGTGAAAATCTATTTTCCTGCTGGTCCAGAGTGACTCATGTGCCATTCCACAGCCTCCCTGTTCGTTGGACTTATTTGGGTCACCGTTGCTGGCAAAGAGCTGTGGTCATTAGAAGTTGGTTTTATTAGGCCGGGCACAGTGGCTCACACCTGTAATCCCAGCACTTTGGGAGGCTGAGGCAGGTGGATCACAAGGTCAGGAGTTCAAGATCAGCCTGGCCAACATGATGAAACCCTGTCTCTACCAAAAAATACAAAAATTAGCCGGGTGTGGTGGCATGCGTCTATGATCCCAGCTACTCGGGAGGCTGAGGCAGGAGAACTGCTTGAACCCCAGAGGTGGAGGTTGCAGTGAGCTGAGATCGCGCCATTGCACTCCAACCTGGGGAACAAGAGCAAGAGCAAGACTCCATTTGAAAAAAAAAAAAAACTTGGTTTTATTGGCCATGCATGGTGACTCACGCCTGTAATCCCAGCACTTTGGGAGGCTGAGGCAGGAGGATCGCTTGAGCCCAGGAGTTCCAGACCAGACTGGGTAATATGGCAAAACTCCATCGCTACAAAAATTTTTCTAAAATCAGCTGGGCATGGTGGCATGCACCTGCAGTTGCAGCTACTTAGGAGGCTGAGGCAGGAGGATGGCTTGAGCCCCCGGCACCAAGGCTGCAGTGAACCGTGATCATGCCACTGCAGTCCAGCCTGGGTGACTGAGTGAGATCCTGTCTGAGAGAGAGAGAGAGATTGAGAGACTGATGCTCAAACAGAGATTCACACAGGTGGAGGCAGGATTCCAATGCATTGCATGTTGCGGCTGTTGAGCTTCATGAGGGGGTAACCACGTGCTCACCACTGAGCCTCCAGTGCCTAGCCATGACTTGGTGAAATTCTGTCTAGTAGGTATCTCTGCGTTATGTAAAATCATGAGCAATTCCTGTACCCCAAATAGTGCCCCACAGGGAAACTGGGAACTAAACAATACAAGCTATAGCACTTCCCTGCCCATACTTGAGCTAGTCCAGTACAGGATTCACTGCCAGAGTCACAGCAAAGGAGTCATAGCGTCTGCATTTTTGCCATCAATAGTCATTGGCTTCCTTATTTCCTAATGTTTCCCAAACTTAAAAATGATTAGTTACAAGAGGTATAAACATTTTGGGGACTCCTCTTTGAGCCAAAGTCATCTCACTAAGACTCTACCAATGTGCTAGTGGAGTTGTTGGTCCAGACTCCACACACTTTGGTGACAACCATGAAATGCTTTCAGAGGGGAAGGTGGGTGGCACGCACCTGTAGTCCCAGCTAGGCATGGTGGCATGCGCCGTAGTCCCAGCTACTTGCGGGGCTGAGGTGGGAGGACTGTCCAACACATGGACATTGGGGAATCTTCCAAGACGCACCTACAAATTCCCAGAAGGGACCAGCTGGGAATTTATGTGCCATGTGCATCTCTGGGATATTTCCTAAAAGAAGAGAGGCTGAGGCATGGTGCACAAATTCTGTATCTCTGGCAGAGTCCTCCACATGAAACTGCCTTTGCAAAATTAGACAGAGAAATCTAACATAGCTGACTTCATCCTTCCTCTAACCTCCAAGCTGTTCTTGGTCATTTCTGGGCATAAGCCAGACTAACTTTGGGAGACATTTAGTTTATAGTTTAACCTTAGACTACCATAGCCCTTCCCAAAACTAAATCACCTTTGTAAAACTAATGAAAGGCCGCAAGGTTAGGAGAATGAGAAGGGCCCGAATTCTGCTAGGATGGAGGCGTAAAGGAAAAACAGCCATTGTTCCGGAGGTCACAAGATTTGCAACTTCCCCAATCTCTCTTGTAGATAACATCACTATTGTAGAACCTAAGATTGGTCTTTTGAGGTGTCTATTCAGACTTCTGCACTTCTGACAATTGGCTAACTCCACCCAGACTCATGACTCATGACTAAGCAGTCCTCTGGGACCCCCACTCAGAGGCAAACCATTTTCCATGCCCCTGTGATAGCATCCCCAACCAATTAGTAGCATTCCCTAGTCCCCTGCCCACCAAACTATACTTGAAAACCGCTAAACTCAAAGCCTTCACAGGGATCAGTTTGAGTAATAACTCCATCTCCTGTGTGGTGGTGGGTCTTGCATCAATTAAACTCTTCACTGTAATGCCATGGTCTCAGTGAATTGATTTTGTCTGTGCAATGGGGAGGACAAGCCCATCAGGCAATTACAGAAACATGCTGGGAGCCTAGGCACCTCTGCGTCTGCTATCCACATGGCCACTTCCTTCTAACACCAAGCCTGGGATATCTTCATCACACTCATTCCCCAAACCTTGGCCCTTTTCTCATGGAACAACCTTGCTGAAAGTCAGTGGAGACAGACTCTCACTACTATCTCAACTAGAGACACTAGTTGACACAAGAAACTGTGCTTCTAAAGATCACTTATAAAGTTGGTTTCTAGGAACTTGGAGACCATTTACCCATTGGGTATGTTTTTTTTTTTTTTTTTTTTTTTTTTCCTGAGATGGAGTCTCACTGTATTGCTCAGGCTGGAGTGCAGTGGCATGATCTTGGCTCACTACAACATCTGCCTCCCAGGTTCAAGAGGTTCTCCTGTCTCAGCTTCCCGAGTAGCTGGGATTACAGGCATGTGCCACCACGCCTGGCTAATTTTGTATTTTAGTAGAGATGTTGACCAGACTGGTCTCAAACTCCTGACCTCAAGTCATCCACCCACCTTGGCTTCCCAAAGTGCTGAGATTACGGGTGTGAGCCACCAGGCCTGGCCTTCATCATGACTTTAATTTGCATTTCCTTAATGGCTAATGATGTTAAATGTCTTATCATGTGTTTGATATTCTTATATCATCTTTAATATGACATATCCTCATATCTTTTGCTCATTTTTAAACTGAATTTTCATTTTTTTTTCTTGGTTGTTGTTTTATGACAAGGTCTTGCTCTGTCACCCAGGCTGAAGTGCAGTGGCACAATCACAGCTCACTACAGCCTTGAACTCCTGGGCTCAAGTGATCCTCCCACTCAGCAGTAGTTGGAACTACAGGCATCACTGCACCTGGCTATTAACGTTGAATTTTCAGAGTTCGTTGTCAGAGATTTGTTTTGCAAATTTATCTCTCACTTTGTAAACTTGTCTTTTTATTCTTTTTTTTTTGAGACGGTGTTGCTCTGTTGCCCAGACTGGAGTGCATGGGCACAATCTCGGCTCATTGTAGCCTCAACCTTCAGGGCTGAAGTGATCCTCCCACCTCAGCCTCCTGAGTAGATGGGACTACAGGCATGTGCCATCACACCTAGCTAATTTTTGTATTTTTTGTAGAGATGAGGTTTCACCCTGTTGTGCAGGCTGGTCTTGAACTCCTGGACTCAAGCAATCTGCCCACCTCAGCCTCCCAAAGTGCTGGGATTACAGGCGTGAGCTACTATGCCTGGCCCTTTTTGTCCTTTTAATGGGTCTTTCATGGAGCAACAGTTTTACATTTTTACAAAGTCCAGTTTATTGATTTTTAAATTTTATGAATGGTACTTTTGGTGTCATGTCTGAGAGTTCTTTACCAAGCCCTAGGTCCTGAAGATTTTCTCCTACATTATCTTTTTTTTTTGGAGACAGGGTCTTGCTCTGTTACCCAGGCTGGAATGCAGTGGCACAATCATGGCTCACTGCAGCCTTAACCACCTGGGTTCAAGCAATCCTTCTGCCTCAGCCTCCGGAGTAGATGGGACCACAGGTGCATGCTACCATGCTGGGCTAATATTCTAAATTTTTGTAGCAATGAGATCTTGCTGTGTTGCTCAGACTAGTCTTCATCTCAAAGGTCTGGGATTACAAGTGTGAACCACCACACCCAGCCTGTTATCTGCTAAAAGATTTGGGGTTTTATATTTTAATCTATGATTCTGAGTTACTTCTTGTATAGGTGTAACGTTCACTCTCGTGGCATTGGATGTCCCATTGCTCCAGCATTTTTTTCTTTTTTTTTTTGAGACAGGGTCTCACTCTGTTGCCCAGGCTGGAGTACAATGGCACAATCTTGGCTCACTGCAACCTCCGCCTTCCAGGTTCAAGCGATTCTCATGCCTTAGCCTCCTAAGTAGCTGGGATTACAGACGCATGCCACCACTAATTTTTGTATTTTTAGTAGAGATGGGATTTTGCCATGTTGGCCAGGCTGGTCTCGAACCCCTGACCTCAAGTGATCCACCCACCTCGGCCTCCCAAAGTGCTGGGATTACAGGCGTGAGCCACCACGCCTGGCCGCTCCAGCATCATTTCTTAAAAAGACCATCCTTCTTTCAATCCTTCATTGAATTGCCTTTGCATGTTTGTCAAAAAGCATTTGGCTGTGCTTGTGTGGATTTTTCTATTCTAGGCCACTGATCTATGTATCTATCCTTCCGCCGGTACCAGTTTTGATTCCTGTAGTTACGTAAGTTTTAAAATCAGGTAGAGTGATTCCTCCCACTTGCTTCTTGCTCAAAATTGTTTTTAGCTATTCTAGTTCCTTTGCCTCTCCAAACAAATTTTAGTTTTTTCACCCAGGCTGGAGTGCAGTGACGTGATCTCGGCTCACTGCAACCTCCACCTTCCAGGATCAAGTGATTCTCCTGCCTCAGCCTCTCGAATAGCTGGGATTACAGGCTCCCGCCACCATGCCCGGCCAATTTTATATTTTTAGTAGAGATGGGGTTTGACCATGTTGGCCAGGCTGGTCTCGAACTCCTGACCTCAGGTGATCAGCCTCCCAAAGTGCTGGGATTACAGGCAGGAGCCACTGCGCCCGGCCCCTGCTATATTCTTAATGTAGCAAATTAGTCCAACACTGATCAGACTCTCAAGCGAACTCTTCTGGCATTTGATAAAGTATCAAGTTATTTTAAAATATTTAAAAGTTATTTTAAAAGTTATTTAAAAATATTGAGCAACTACCCTAACACACATAACATAAAGCTATACTAATCGCATGGATGACTCCCAGGTACCACACACTGAGACAGAACTTGGGAGGAGGTGGAATGGGAGCAGGTTTGGTAGAAGGAAGGAGGAAGGAAGAGCTCTGTTGAGGTATGTTAAGTGCGAGATGCTTATTAGACCTTAAAGTGGAGATGGGGACACAGTTGGATGTATGAATCTAGAACTTATTTGAGAGGTCTGGTCTGCAGAGAGATACATTTAAAACTGTGAGATGCCACCGAACTTTTGCTGAGCTTTTATAGCTTTCTTCCTGTTAAATTAAGTAGTTTGGCTTTGCAAGTAAGCTTCAGAAGTTCACCCATCCTACCCACATTTCTATTTTCATGTTTAAGTAAATTTAGTAGAGGACTAGATAAATTATAGTATCCCTCTTATTATTCCTATACTAATATTACTTTCCTCATTACTTTTAAACACTTGACTTTCATGTCATTTCCCTTCTTAACAGTCATTAACTTTTATCTCCTATACCATGCTAAGCTTCTCTCTGGCATTCACAATATATTCTCCATTGTCAAAATGGCTCCTTCATTCCTCCTGAACACACCACGAATATGACCCTGGCCTCTGACTTTATGCAGACTGCCACCCAAACTGGTTTCACAACTCCCTTGACCTGTACCTCTATCTGTAAGAGCTTGAGAACTCTATGAAGTCTCCACCTGTTCCAGCCTATCATCTCCCCTCCTCATCTCCACATACATTTGCATGGTAGTCTTCATCATATGGTCTCTTGCATTTTAAAAACCTCAAACCTACTTCTCAAGTTGTACAAGCTCACTAACAGGTCATGTTGGAATGAGTTTCCAATCATGAGTGCCAAAATCATGCAGTATTTCCAATACAAATACTTTGCTTTCTACCCCAAAAATACATGATCCAAAACTAAAATGCAAAGGAATAAATCAACTGTATCCAAATCTCAATTAATAGGACTCCATTATCAGCCTAGAGTACCAAGCCAGTAATAATGTGAGAGGCAGAATTTAGTCAGAGGCATAGAGAGCGAGCCTAGGCAGAAAGGGCAATGAGTGTCCACCAGGACTAATGAGGCGACCTGCCCCAGGCCACACAATTCCTATCCAAGGCAGCGCCCTTTTCACTACCAGTCCACCAACTGCGGGACTTAGGTGTGCTGTCCCAGGAAGAGGCAACCAGGCCTGGGGGAAAAACTGTACCTTCTTCTTCCACTTAAATGGAATAACTATCCCTGTATTTCTCCTCAGTCTGCATGGAGCAAAAAATTGGTTTTAGCATAATCCATCAAATACATGACTCCAAGCAACCAGGACAGAGAACTCCATTGGTAAACATACAAACCCATGCAAACACACACACGCATATGTGAGCACACACATACTCCAGACATTATGGCCAAGCATGCCATACAAAACTGTGTTTATCGTGAAACAATCTGAGTTAGGAAACTAGGATTGTTGCCACCACCATTTATTTATCTAGTTCATAACTAAGGATAGAACACTATAGCAGTGCTAGAGATGCAAAGACGTCCCTGCCCTTAAGGGGCTTACAATCTTACTGGAGAATATAACAGGCACATAAGAAGCTGGACTACAAGGAAGCATGAGCTAACAAATGCCAGACTTCGGAAGGCAGCGTAGTTTGAGAACATGGGATTCAGAGTCACAAAACCCACATCCTAGTCCCAACCCAGTATATCAGTTAACCTCTCTGGGTTTTTTCCCAGCTACAACATTAAATAGTAAGACTGAGAGGCTGTCTGCATGTTTCCATCATCATTCAGATCAAAAGCTGAGATGAGCTTTAGGGAGGAGGCTGCACCTGAGCGGGACACTGAAGGAAGGCAAAGGAGGTGTTTCAGACAAGCAAAGCAGTACTGAGGTAGCTGTAAGCTTGGAGTTTGGATGGGAGACGACAGACAAGTGTCACAAGGAGCAACGGCAGAGAGGTGGGTGGGTGGCAGGAAGCGCCACAACACTTTCCACACAGGGGTGGGTGGTGTGCCTCACATTTACAGCCGATCATTTACAGCACATAATTCCAGAGAGTAGAAAATACCAGAGGATAATGGCGGCATTTTTTCAAACATTTCACTTGATTTCCATAAAGTATAAAATAATTTAACATTATACCTCTACATTTCAAAATTCACATCAATAAACCATCCTAATTGTTAAAATGCAAACCAATTCAAAGTTTACATTCTTAGTAAACATAACTAAATCTCTTAATTCAAAAGGACATTTGATACAAATTATATTACTCCAATAATTCCAACATTCATTTTCCACCATGTTCCAAGCACTGTGAAAATAAAAATGACTATGACAAGGTCCCTGCCCTTGAAGAGCCTGCAGCCTGGCAGATGAGACAAAGATCAACTCTGCCTACCTAGAACAGAATTACTGTGATGCACAGCCTGATCAAGGTACGAGCCGTGGAGCACAAAGACGGATTCATCCTTCCTGAAGTTTCCACAAGGGCTCAGGAGAGAGGTCTTGGGCACAAGAAGAAATGAGTTTGGCAGAGAGAAAGTGACTATGGGAGGAGAGGGCTCCCAGGCAGAGGACACACGGGCACAGAGAGGAAGTCCAGGGCCAATGACAGGGACAGGGTGGCTGAAGCAGGGTGTAAAAGGCAACAGCTAGTGATACGAAGGCCCGGACTTAGTCCTGTGAAAATAAGGAGCCATTGCTTGTCATGTTTTAATCATCTACTAACACTGGTTCATAAGGTCAGGAAGAGATAGGACAGAAAGTGAGCAGGAAGGTTCTGTCTGTATTGTAGGCAGTGACTGTCTGCTCTCCCCAGCAACTAAACTGCTCAGAAGCCACACTCCCCATGACCTCCTTCCTTCATCCTTTCTTCTGTCTCCTTTTTCTCTTTATGATCTGCTTCCCCTCTGTCCTTGAGTCTTCAAAATGGAGCCAGCACTGGGAAGGCATAGGAGAGGAGCAAAGGAGCAGGACTAGAAACAAACATATATGGCTAATCGAGTTACTATAAAGAAATGGTAACCGTATTGGACAAAGGTCTGCAGATGAAGGAAACTAATTCTTTTTCAGGAGTTTTCCAAAAGTGCCCAATTCACACCAAAATTTTGGAAAATCTCATACAATGTGGGAAAAGTATACAGAACCCTTGCAGAAGACTCCATTTCCTAAACTATTTTGCATTAATATCAACGTTACAAACGCAATACCATAGGATTTCAGAGCCTATCTTCACACAAATAAGATCTGACCAAAATTGCATTGCTTAGCTTAAAAAATACTACACAATGTATAATTTCAAGTCTTAGGTTCTCAGCTACTACCAAAATATGTCAATATATGAATAAACTGCCTTGTGAAAAACATGCAGTAAAAGGTAGATGCAAATAAGCCATCCCTTTAGGGTAGACACTATATTAAAATTTCTTGTCATATTATAAAACCATTCTACAAAAGTAACACCTTCTTGAAATTTCATTTTGTAATGAAGAAAATAAATCTGTATCATTTTATTTAACATTCATTCTTTAAGTTACAGTTAACACAATCTGCTTCTAATCCAAGAAATCCTAGTATAATCTGAAATACATGCATATACATTTAGTAAGACCTACATTTCTAAATAAATTACATGCATGATATACAATAAAGAATACTAATATGAAAATTCAGGACATTTATTTTTCTGCATGGAAATTTAACTACTGTATAACACACGCACATACAAAACAAACCCACAAAGCAACAGTGTGTAATAGGTAGTGAGAGACACACAAAATAAGCATATTTAAAACGCCTACAAACAGCCTTTTTTTTTTAGGCAACAAAATACGTCCAGTCCTTGACATCTTCTCATACTCACCTAGCACCACAGATGCAAGGACCTAACAGTAAACATGTACAATCTCATGCTTAACACCTAAAGCATGCACTGAATTGAATTTGTATGTTGTGATCTATTCTACTAAGTATGCAATACATACTTTTTCTTACTAATATTTTATACATTAAATTACCCTGCAGCATTTTGAAATTTTAACATTGATGTAAAACAACTTTTGAAAGATTTATGAAACAAGTTTCGAGGTTCACCTTCAGGCTGGTTTGGTTAAGTGGAAAAATGGCAGCAGCCTCAAGGTTCATACTGAATGAAAATGGTGTTGTGTGCATGTCAACCCATGTAAAAAATACCTATATACAAGATGGCACAAAGATTTGTGCAGTTGGAATCACCAGTGCAAATGCATGCATTTGAGGTACTTATTTTTTTCATGGTCAGGTATAATTATGCATAGTCATTTTCCTTAAGTGCTAAAGATTTCAGACCTGATCAAATGAAAAGCTGTAAGTGTAAATATGAGCTATTTATATAGTTAATTTCAAAGTGCTATGCTTTTAATGAACATATGTTTAACATTATAGATTTATATATTTAGTTTAAAATATTTATATTACTAACCAATAAATTTTCTCACTATAAAGAGACTGACTGGCAATTATACCTGGCCAAGTAATTTAAATAGCATACTTGCAAGAACTGTAGTGAAAGAGTTAAATACTTCATTATTGCTTCATTGAACTGAGAAGCCCAAAAGGCATAGATCAACAATGCTCAGTGATGAAAAATGAATACCCAGAACAGCGGTGCACGCCCCCAAAATGACCTCTGTGCAATAAAAACTAAGCATTCTCCACGTTATCAATGCCGTTGGCATCCACATGGATATCAGACTCCCCACACAAAGATGAGGGAACAAAGCGGCTAACAGTGGGACACAAACAGCTCTTAAGCTCTGGCAATTCCTGCTTCAGGCGTTCCAATTGCTCCACTTGGAATATATTTGGTTGTTCAGGCATCCAATCATATATCCTATGATGAAACAAATACAAAACACATAAAATACTGTAATTTTATGGTTTACCTAAGACCTGCCTGACTCAACCTTTTCATAAGAATTCATTTACAGAATGCCTGGAACATCCACATCAGAGTTTTTGTTTTGTTTTAAAGATGAAAGTATCCATTCTCTTTTTTAAAATTTCTCTTCTTCCCAGTCTTTCCAATAATCCAGAATAGCAGCATTGCCCTTTTGTACCCCCGATGCAATGGAGCTCAACATAAAGCAGCTGAATCAGAAAATGAAATGTCTAGTTTACTTGTGATCTAGCTTAAAGTATTTGCCCTCCAACTTGCCTTTTTTTAACAAATGGAAATCTATAAAAAACTGACTGCTCTGACTTCAAAGTCACTAAAGATCGAGATAAGAAGACTGCTTACCAGCGTGGGAACTACTCTAAAGCTGCTCAATAACGTCAGACACGTCCAGAGTGGAGAACTCTGAAAGAGCCTCTGGTGACCTGACACTGGCACTACCCATCAGCAGAGAAAAGATGGCCTCCTGTGCCTGAATGTGACAGCCAGGCAACTATGTAAGGCAGTATCAGAGAATCTTTATGACATCACAGTAGGAAAGAATTTTTTCAACACGATAAAAAATATGGTGACTCTAATAAATATCTGACTGTATTAAAACAAAGAGTTTCTATTAATTATTAAAGACATATCTAAGAGAATGAAAAATGACCTCTGGGTCAAGGTATCAAGACAGAACAGAAGCATCTAACTTCGTTCTCTCCCTATATTCCATTAAAAATAAAACAAAGATTCTTTTCAATAAAATCCGTAAGTAAGAGAAAAACCCAAGAGACAAAGCTACAACATTTTGAAAGCTGGAAAACAGATGGATAAATAAGAACTGAAAGTTTGTCAGTGAGAGAACTGAAAAGGCTGGCTCCCAGGCCAGTGGTAGGAAACAAGAGCAGAGTTAAAAGCAGGAGCAGATCGATGTAAGACGGCGGACTGTCAAACCAGAAACCACCCCTACTCCTAATCCCCCTGTGAAGAGGAGAAAACAGAATCTAATCAGGAGGTTGCTAACCCAGAACACTATATTAAACATCCTCTACAGAACAGATGGGCACTCTGGTTTTTTTAAAAAAGATAAAAGCAAAACTTGACAAGCAAACCTGCCGCTGATCTCTAAGTTTGATCCTGTTGACTTTTGGGCTCTGTACAACCATATCCAGTTGTCTAGTAATTTAATGTCTGGCTGTGACTACTCACTTTTTAAGGATGGTGTTGAGCCCATGTGGGAAGATGAGAAAAACAAACAGGGAGGATGATGGCTAATTTACATTGAACAAACAGCAGAGATGAAGGGACCTCAATCACTTTTGGCTAGAGACTCTACTGTGTCTTATTGGAGAATCTTTTGATGACTCAGTGATGATATATGTGCAGCTGTTCTTAATGTTAGAGCTAAAGGTGATAAGATAGCAGTATGGACTACTGAATGTGAAAACAGAGAAGCTGTTACACATATAGAGAGGGTATACAAGGAAAGGTTAGGACTTCCTCCAAACATCGTGATTGGTTATCAGTCCCATGCAGACACAGCTACTAAAAACAGCTCCACCACTAAAAATAGGTTTGTTGTTTAAGAAGACACCTTCTGAGTATTCTTCTGAGTATTCTCATAAGAGACCAAGTCAAGCAATCGAGATTTTGGAGCTGAATCAAAGCCTCTTCAAAAACTACTAGAGTGGACTGGATTTAAATTTAATTTCCATCCAAATGTTGCTAAGATGTAAGAGAAGTCTCATTCACTGAGGTGGGAGGACTGGAACTCAGGAGGTCAAGGGAGCAGTGAGCTGAGATTGTGCCACTGCACTCCAACCTGGGCAGCAGAGTGAGAGAGAACCTGCCTCAAAAAAAAAAAAAAAAAAAAAAATCCTTAATGACTTCAGGGAAATAGCATGTTCATTAAATGAGAATAGGATGCTAAATATATGGAAAAAAATGCATTCAGAGAAAAAAAGATAGTTCTTGGAAATTAAAGACACAATAGCAGACATGAAAAACTCAACAGAGGCCAGGCACGGTGGCTCACACCAGTAATCCCAGCACTTTGGGAGGACAAGAAAGGCAAATTGCCTGAGCTCAGGAGTTCAAGACCAGCCTGGGCAACATGGCGAAACCCTGTCTCTACTAAAATACAAAAAATTAGCCAGGCATGGTGGCGTGCGCCTGTAGGCCCAGCTACTTGGGAGACTGAGGCATGAGAATTTGCTTGAACCCAGTAGACAGAGGTTGCAGTGAGCCCAGATCGCACCACTGAACCCCAGCCTGGATGATAGAGTGAGACTATCTCAAAAAAAAAACAAACAAAGCAAACAAACAAAAAACATAAAAGCTCAACAGAATGAGTAGAAAGTAAGATTGAGAAAACCTTTCAAATGAAGCAAAAAAAAAAAAAAAAAGACAAAATAGGAGGAAAAAAAAATCAAAAATCTGGTCCAAGAGCTATTTGATTCAAACAAAAAGACTTCTATAAAGAAAAAAATCAAGAAAATTGAAAGGGTCAAAAATCAAAAGAATTATTTTTGAAAAAATTTTCCTGTGTTTAAGAACATGTATTGACAGACTAAAAGGGTTACCAAGTGTCCAGCAAAGTGGGCAAAGCCAGACCCACAAGAAAACACATCTCTATAGAATTCCCAAACTCTGGTAATAAAAGGAAGACCCTCAAAGCTTCCAAACAGGAAACACAGATTACATGTGTGAGAACATAATCAAGGTGGCTTCACACTGAGCAACAACACTGGAATGGTAAAGATGATGGAGAATGTTTCTAAAATTCTAAAGTATTTCTAACATAGAGTTCTATACACAGCCATGATATTTCTGGACATATAAAACCTCAAAAACATTTACCTCCTGTGTCCACCTTTCTTAAGAAGATGCTGAAAGACATGTCCCATAAAACTCATTGAACCAAGAGAGGAAAAGATATGAGCTACAGGAAACAGGAGATCTAACACAGAGAATGGCAGGGCACAGGATGACAGCTGTGCACAATCAACCAATCAGTACTGGAGCAGCCCGGTGGAGAGGCAGACGTATTGAGGGCTATTACTCCGAGAGAGACACTGTCACTCTAGCAGCTATGTTAACCTAAGAACAGAGTGCCCTCATGAGCCTGAACTGGCATATTACTTAAATATGGTCTAACCATGTGCTGATTAAGTTTCCACATTACCTGCAGGATTATAATGCTTTGGCCTACTCCTGAGAACTGGTAACAGGCTACAGTGAGTGTAGAACCAGGAAATACAGGACAGCCCACTCCTGCTATACCTCCTATGCCTGACCCACAGGCAGATGTGCTGAGCTAGAGACCTAGCGGGTCACACAAACAGTTCGGAAAGTTAAGACTAGCATTTAAGCGCACACACACAAAGAAGTACACGCATGAACAGGAAGTATCTAAAGGACACTTGGAATTGTTTCAGGTGCATACTTGTAAATATACCTTATCTGTGTACTGGGTTGCCGCATAAAATAAGCTGGGTGCAAAAAGGTTTGAAAGTCATTGTACTATCAATAATGTTCACAGCAACACTATAAAATAGCAATTACTTGGCAGCAACCTAAATGTTCCTAAATAGCAGTCTAAGTTGTGGTAAAGACAACAATGGAATATTAACAAGACCACGAAAAGGAGTAAGGTATAGCTACATGCAACAATATGTTAATTTTAAGAACATAATTACAAGTTTTATGAAGTATATTTAAAGCTTGAAACTATACAAAACTACAGCTGGGGCAGGAGAATCACTTGAACCCAGGAGCTGGAGGGTAAGGCAGGAGAATCACTTGAACCCAGGTTGCAGTGAGCCGAGACAGTGCCACTGCACTCCAGCCTGGGTGACAAAGACTCTGTCTCAAAAAAATAAAAAGAACGGCCTCTTACTCATCATCCTAAGTGCAAATTTTCCAAACAAAATACCAGAAAATGATATGTAGCAGTTGAGTGTTTGATAATTGAAAACACACTCACACACTCTCACCACACCTCTCTCCAATCCAAAATGCCTCAAAGGCTCCAAGTCACTAATCATTCAAAACCTTCTATGTGATATCTAAATTTGATAATGGAAAAAATAGCATAAGCAGATTATTTAGAAATAGAGGTAACTGCCAGAAGAGCCAAATAAAGATTTGAGGGGACACGGTCTCAGCCAGAGACAATGGAAGAAATAGGTACAAGAAATTATTGGTATTTTATTATAAGACTTATCAAACTATTTGAATTTTAAAACTATATACACATGCTTTTTTGAATAAAATTAAAAAAAAATGTTGAGGGTAAAAACCAACTCAACATAACCCACCTTTCCCCTCCTCAGACCCTATTAGGAATCCAGTGCCTGGCCACCTCCCTGAAACCCTCAACAGTCATGCCCTGATTTACACTCTTGCCTCTGCCTAGAACACAAATCTTGTCAAAGTAAACATAACCACTCCCCAAATTCCAACTCAATTCTTCCTCTTTAAAGCTCCAAGCCAGGAAGAACTTTCTTGAGCACCTGTTATATCATGTATCTTCCTGTTCTCCATTAAATGTCAACATTTGATTTCAACCAAGTAAAGCCCTTGAGATGAAGAATCTGCCTGAAATTTGTATACTCTACAAAACCATAAATGATATAATCTCATAATATACTTCCTTGTCAGAAAATATTTGTAATCATTCCTTGTAACAAAAATACACATATAACCATATACATTCAAAAATTTGCTAAAGCCAGTACTTGTTCCAAATTATTTAAAATTTTAATTAAATTAGTTGGAAATGCTGAAGAGCGCTATGCGTCACTCATGCTATTTCATGCAAAATTAACCAAATAGTTTAAAAGGCAGGTAGGTAGGATTTACTTGGACTACAATTTTAAAACCAAACTAATTGAGACAAAATACTGGAAGGAAAACAAGCTTTATTCAGAAAGTAATATAACTTTATGGGAAGAATAGTAATATGAGCCAAATCCAAGGAATGTATTGTTTAAAGCAGGCCTAGTGAGATTTTATCACTTACTCTTTGTGTAACACTTCTCAAGCACAGGCAATCTTCGTCTTACTGCACTTCGTCTTTTTTTAAATTTCTTATAATTTAATTTTATTTTATATGAGATGGGGTCTTCTCCCAAAGTGCTGGGATTACAGGCATGAACCACCATGCCCCACCTGCGCTTTTCAGATACTGTGTTTCTTACAAATTGAAGCTTTGTGACCACCCTGCATCCAGCAAGTCTGTTGGTGCCATTTTCCCAACAGCATCTGCTCACTTCATATCTGCGTCACATTTTGATAATTCCCACAATATTTCAAAGTTCATTATGATTCTATCTGATATGGTGATCTATGATTAGTGATCTTTGATGTCACTATTGTAATTGTTTTGAGGTGCCACGAATCATACCCATAAATCAGTGTGTTCTGACTGCTCCACTGACCAGCCTCTCCCCTCCCTAACTTTCTACCTCTCCTCTGGCCTCCCTATTCTCAGAGACACATCCATACTGAAATCAGGCCAATTAACCTTACAATGGCCCCTAAGTGCTCAGGTGAAAGAAGAGTCTTAAATCTCTCAATTTAAATAAAAAACTAGAAATGATTAAGATTAGTGAGGAAGGCATGTTAAAAACTAAGATAGGCTGAAAGCTGGGCCTCTTGAACCAAACTGTTAACCAAGTTATGAATGCAAAGTCCTTGAAGGAAATTGAAAGTGCTACTACAGTGAACACAACAATGAAAAGAAAGCAAAGCAGCCTTATTGCTGATAAGGAGAAAGTTTTAATGGCCTGGATAGAAGATCAAACCAGCCAAAACATTTCCTTAAGCCAAAACCTAATTCAAAGGGCTTAACTCTCTTCAGTTCTATCAAGGCTGAGAGAGGTAAAGAAGCTGCAGAAGAAAAGTTGGAACCCAACAGAAGTTGGTTCATGAAGTTTAAGGAAAAAGAAGCTGTCTCCATAACGTAAAAGTGCAAAGTTAAGTATCAAGTGCTGATGGAGAAGCTGCAGTTAAGGTATCCAGAAGGTCTTGCTAAGATCACTTAACAAAGTGGCTACATTGAACAACAGATTTTCTTTTCTTTTTTTTTAAGACAGAGTCTCGCTCTGTCACCCAGGCTGCAGTGCAGTGGTGTGATCTCTGCTCACTGCAAGCTCCGACTCCTCGGTTCAGGCCATTCTCCTGCCTCAGCCTCCCGAGTAGCTGGGACTACAGGCGCCCGCCACCACGCCCGGCTAATTATTATTATTATTATTATTTTGTATTTTTAGTAGAGACGGGTTTTCACCGTGTTAGCCAGGATGGTCTCCATCTCCTGACCTTGTGATCCGCTCACCTCGGCCTCCCAGAGTGCTGGGATTACAGGCGTGAGCCATCAGGCCCGGCCGAACAACAGATTTTCAATGTAGACAAAACAGCCTTCTATTGGAAGATGCCCATCTAGACCTTTCACAGCTTGAGAGATGTCAATGCCTGGCTTCAAAGCTTCAAATAACAGGCTGCTTCTCTTGTTAGGGGCTAATACAACTGATGATGAGTTTAAGTTGAAGCCAATACTCATTTAACACTCTGGAAATTGTAGGGCCCTTCAGAATTACGCTAAATCTACTTTGTCTGTGCTCCAGAAATGCAACAAAGTCTGGATGACAACACATCTGTACACAGCATGGTTTACTGAATATTTTAAGCCCATAGTTGAGACGTACGGCTCAGGAAGAAAAAATATTACTGATCATTGACAATGCACCTGGTCACCCAAGAACTCTAACAGAGATTGCTGCTTTCATACCTGTTAACACAAAATCCATTCTGCAGCCCATGGATCAAGGAGTCACTTTGACTTTCAAGTCTTATTACCTTAGAAATACATTTCAAAGACTGTAGCTGCCACAGACAGTGATTCCTCTGAAGGATCTTGGCAAGGTAAACTGAAAACTTTTTATCATTCCAGATACCATTAAGAACATTTCTGATTCATGGGACAAGATCAAAATATCAACATTAACAGGCATTTGGAAGAAGCTGATATCAATCCTCATAGATGCCAGAGGGGTTCAAACCTTCAGTGGAAGAAGTCACTGCAGATGTGGTGGAAATAGAAAGAGACCTAGAAATAGAAGTGGAACCTAAAGATGTGACTGAATTGCTGCAATCTCATGATAAAACTTTAACAGACGAGGAGTTGCTTCTTATGGATGAGGAAAGAAAATGGTTTTTTGAGACAAATCCACCCAACAAAGATGCTCTGAACATTGTTTAAATGACAACAAGAGATTCAGAATATTACATAAACTTAGTGAATAAAGCAGCAGCAGGGTTTGAGAAGATGGACTCCAATTTAAAGATGTACTTACTACTGTGGGGCAGGGAGTGGTGGCCACCTGTAATCCCAGCACTTTGGGAGGTAAAGGCAGGCAGATCACCTGAGGTCAGCAATTCAAGAACAGCCTAGGCCAATATGGTGAAACCCTGTCTCTACCAAAAATACAAAAATTAGCTGGATGTGGTTGTGCATGCCTGCAGTCCCAGCTACTCGGGAGGCTGAGGCAGGAGAATCACTTGAACCTGGGAGGCGGAGGTTGCAGTGAGCCGAGATTGTGCCATTGCACTGCAGCCTGGGCGACAGAGCGAGACTCAATCTCAAAAAAATAATAATAAAATAAAAATAAAGATGTTTTGGCAGGGCGCGGTGGCTCACACCTGTAATCCCACAGCACTTTGGGAGGCCAAGGCGGGTGGATCACTTGGGGTCGGGAGTTCAAGAACCTGGCCAACATGGCAAAACCTCTTCTCTAGTAAAAATACAAAAATTAGCCAGGCATGGTGGCAGGCGTGCGCCTGTAATCCCAGCTACCCAGGAGGCAGAAGAATCGCTTGAACCCAGGAGATGGAGGTTGCAGTGAGCCAAGATCATGCCATTGCACTCCAGCCAGGGTATTAAGAGTGAGACTCTGTCTCAAAAAGCAAAAACAAATAAAAAAGATGTTTTACTGTGGGTGAAAAATGCTCTTAAACACCATCATGTGCAACAGAGAAATATTGTGTAAAAGGAAGAGTCCACGGGTACAGCAGACTTCATTTGTGTCTTATTTTAAGAAACTGCCACAGCCACCTCAACCTTCAGCAACCACCACCCTAATCAGTCAGCAGCCATCAACATCAAAGCAAGACCCTCCAGCAGCAAAATGATTATGATTTGCTGAAGGTAGATTGTTAGCATTTCCTAGTAATAACGTATTTTAAAATTAAGATATATACTGTGTTTTCTCAGACACAACGCTACTGTACACTTGGTAAACTACAATGTAGTATAAACATAACTTTTTTTTTAGACAGAGTCTCACTCTGTCACCCAGACTGGAGTGCAGTGGCGCGATCTCGGCTCACTGCAACCTCTGCCTCCTGGGTTCAAGTGATTCTCCTGCCTCAGCCCCGAGCAGCTAGGATTACAGGCATGTGCCACCACACCCGGCTAATTTTTGTATTTTTAGTAGAGACAGGGTTTCACCATGTTGGTCAGGCTGGTCTCAAACTCCTGATCTCATGATCTGCCCGCCTCAGCCTCCCAAGGTGCTGGGATTACAGGCGTGAGCCACTGCGCCCGGCCTAAACATAACATTTATATGCACTCGGAACCAAAAGATTTAGGACTTGCTTTGCTGTGGTGGTCTGGATCCCAGCCTTCACTATCGCTGAGGTACACCTGTATGAGCAAGTCTGCTAATCCCTCAGCAGAGTAAATGACATCCCTTCTAACCCCAAATATCTTTATACTAAAGAAACCTTTTTGACTCTCAGATTAGTGGCTGCCAAAGAAGCTGATGGAAAAAAAAATATTTGTTCAATAAATTATTTGACTCCCTACTGGATGCCCCACATTGTTCTAACCTCAATAGCAATGAACAAATCAGGCAAACAGCCTTGCCCTCCTCATGGAGCCTATATTCTCATTTGCATGTGTGCATTAGTGCCCAGGAGGATGGAGGAAAGGGGCTAGGGAGAAAAACAAGTAAAATGTAACACAGAATATGTGGTGTGTCAGATGATGATAAATGATATGGAGACAAGTCAGGGAGTGCACTGTGAATAGAAGTTGTTATTTGAAATCAGTTATTCAAGAAAGTCCTCACTGAGGTGACATTTAAATTGTTACGGAAGTCTTTCTCCAAAGAATGGGAAACAGCAGATGGGGGAATTTTGTGGAAGGTCAGAGAGGGAAAGAGGGTTGAAGGTGGTGGGGTGGCAGATTGGCTCATATAGGGCCCTCAGGCTTCAGCTTTTCCTTTAGGTGACACAGAAAACTGTGGGAGAGTTTTAAGTAGCAACATGATCAGACATAGGTCTTAAAAGCTTCCCTCTCACTACTGTACTAAGAATAAACAGCCTGACCGTTAAGGGTAGAGGCAGTCACCAGGGGGCAGGCTACCTCAACAATCCACACCAAAGATGAGCTGCTTTACTTGAGTGACAACAGTTAACTTGGTGAGTAGTCTGATTCAGGATATATTTTGAAGACAGAACAAAAAGATTTTCTATCTGACTGGATTTGGGGTATGAGATAAAGAACAGAGTCATGGAAGACTAAGAATATGGTCTGAATTGTCACTTATACTGAAATCAGGAAGACTGTAAGAGGAACAGGTGTCAGTACCTGGAAATAAAAGTCTACAGAGGTCTAGGGAAGGGTCTGAGTTGGAGATACGTAAGTGTGAGAACACAGAAAGTTATGAAAAGCCACAGAATTGGACAAGAGGAATGAAAAAGTTGGTATAGACAGAGAAGAGGTCTAAGGGCTGGCAGTCACCCTCACCCCCAGGGTGATTTAGTATATATATCTGAGTTAAGGCCCAGTCATTTGAATCCTTAACAAGCTTCCCAAGTGATTCTGCTATCCTTCAAACTTTGAAAACACCCACAGGCAAATGTCAAGATAACCTCAGGCTGAACTGCAGAATTTTAACTTAACTAAGTTTAATTTTATTTATAATTTCGTAAGATGAAATCTATACTTCTAAATTCCATGAAAATTTTTCATGAAAAACAAATACCTATCATAAATTAGACCATTAACTCCAAGTTCCTTCAATTTCCTTCTGTTTTCAGGATCATTGGTATCATCACCCCAGCAGAATATGACTAGTCCCTTAGCTTTTGCCTCTTGAATATAGGATGGGTTTCTGAGCAAGTCTTCAGTATGTACATTTATCCCCTAGAAGAAGAAAAATTAGTTGTGCATGAAAAAGAAACATTAACTGCAAAGCTAAATGCTCACACTCTAAATCAGTGCTCTCCAAAGTACAGCAGGCGGGAAAAGAAAATGGTAGATTTTTTTCTTCCAATTACTTTAACTTATTCTTTTTAATGGACACTTCATACATAAATATATTCACAATATATTAATATATACATAATGTATAAGCATACATATTGAATGTGCAGTCAAAAAATGTACTAATGGAATGCTCTACCAAAACAAGTTCACGTTCATCTGTAAAATGGGAATAATATTTTTAAAAGGCATACAGTCTGAACATTTTTAGATTATTCATAAAATCTATTCAGAAAGTTAAACTAAAAAATTTAACGTATGCCTATAACAAATTTTGTACTTAATGTAATTGTTTTTCATCCTGAGATCTAATATCCTCGTTTTTAAGTAGAGCCACTTGTTTGCTACAGTTTAGTCAAAACGTTAACATTAGATGGGTAAAGTAATATGAAATCTTTACTACTACTCCAAAATAGAAAACAGAACATTAAAAAGATAAAAATTCAAACATAACTTACCAGTAGATTTTCAAACTGTGCAAAGCTCATTGCAATGGGGGTTGTCCGAGATCTGAGGTCCATGAGTTCAGGATAAATCTCAGATTTTCCTTGAGTTAAAAATAGTATCGGATATTTGTTCTGCTTTTGCCGAACCCTGAAAAGAAACAATTTTAAAAATACCTTTCAATGGGGGGTAACTGTAATATTCCTTTTTGGAATTTTAGAAAACACTGAAAGTATAAAGAAAACAAACGAGGCCGGGCATGGTGGCTCACACCTGTAATCCCAACACTTTGGGAGGCCAAGGCGGGCAGAGCACTTGCGGTCATGAGTTCAAGACCAGCCTGGACAACATGGCGAAATCCCATCTCTACTAAAAATACAAAAATTAGCCGAGTATCATGCACAGGCTTGTAATCCCAGCTACCGAGGAGGCTGGGGCACCAGATCACTTGAAACCTGAAGGCAGAGGTTGCAGTGAGCCGAGATCACACCACTGCACTCCAGCCTGGGCAACAGAACAAGACTCTGTCTCAAATAAATAAATAGATTTAAAAAAAAAAGAAAGAAAGAAAACAAAGAAACATATTCCCATTTCTCAGCTAAAACCACCATTAACATGCGTTGCCTTTTCAGGCCAGGTACAGTGCAGTGGCTCATGCCTGTAATCCACACTTTGGAAAGCCAAGGCAGGAAGCTCACTTGAGCCTAAGAGTTTGACACCAGCCTGTGAAAGAGGAGGAGACCTCATTTCTACAAAAAATACAAAATTAGCCAGTCTTAATGGCACACACGTGCAGTCCCAGCTACTCAAGAGGCCAAGGCAGGAGGACTGCTTGTGCCCGAGAGGTCAGGGCTGCAGTGTCATCATCACACCACTGCAGCCTGGGTGACAGAGTGAGATCCTGTCTCAAAAACAATTTTTTTTAATAAAAGATAAATACAAATTTAAAATTTTTTCTATACAAGAGCTAAAATATTCTCAGATATCGGCAGTGATAAATCCCTAGGGAGCTTACAATATGGTAAGGAGTATATGACCTGCCTGTAAAATAAAGGGTGTAAGGCTCTAGGACCTAGTAGGTGTGGACTTCACAGGAGTAGCAGGCACCCTAGCAAACAGTCAAGAAAGGGCATGAGGAAACACACAACCTGACATGATTTCAGAGGACAGATCATGGGGGAAAGCTGGACAACTACCCCACCTCCAGACTGCTGCCTTAAGTCCTAGACACATTCTAAGAGTATAGGAAAAAATACAGAGTATTACTCACATTGTGCAAATATCTGCATCAAATGAAGAAAACACTATTCTCCTCTTCCCAGAATTTTCTAAAACAGTTTTTAAAATTATATCCAAAAACAGATTCATGTCAAAATATGTTGATAAGTTACCATCCCACATTCCATCCTAGTGAAAGAGAAAGCAAAATAAAAGTCACTGCACATCCTAAAATCAGTGCTAGCAACTCTGTTTTTATTCTGGCAAGCTATGATGAAAAAACCCCTGACAGTATCTAGTCCAACTACTATTTTATAGATGATGAAACCTGAAAAGATTAAGTGATCTGCCCAAGATCACAAAGCTATTTAGTGATGACACAGGTCATAATTCAGACATAGAGACTCTCATACAAAAAGCAAGTAACTATTAACTATATCATCAATACACTTTTGCATTAATAAAGTTAAAATAAAAGCTAAAACTCTAGAATTTTGCAGTCTGCTATGACTTTATTTCCATAAATTATAAGACACACACATCATCTGCTAACAAATTAATAAAATGTCCCTACTAATTATTAATTACCAGTTTAAAAGTCTCATTCTTTGGGTCTTGGGCATATCAAGTAACCAAAAATTAATTAAAGTAACTCAATAAATATAGCCAAGACACCAAGCCAGCTCTATTGACATTCAAATGTTAAATGTTTTAAGTATTAGTCACTGAAATAATTCTAGAAGCTCAGAAAACTAAAAATCACATTATTAGGGAAACCTTAGTCGAGAATTCACTACATTAATGAGGACCAGCTTGTCACAAACAGCATAATGAGGGCAATTACAGATTATTCTGACCAAAACAAATTCAAGGGTATTGCTCAATGCCCAATCATGACATCTGAATTAACTACTTTCAACACCCCACACTCTACTACCCCAAGCCCCTTGCAATGCATCCCATCAATCTGCACATATTCTCTCTGATATATTCAATAGTTAGCTAATTGTTTTCCACAACTGAAATATAAGTCCCAGGAAGACAAGGCCTTATTCTCTTTTGTGGACTACTTGTCCCGAGCACTTGGAAAATGCCTGGTCCATAGCAGCTTTTCAAAAAATATTTGTTGAACAAAAAAATGACTAAATTTGTAAGTGATTTAAAACAATTGCAGAAATTTTTTTCCTGAATAATTATTACTAGCTACTGTTAACAACAGAAAACTGCTTAGAAAATTATTTAAAACATTCTTATATGGGAATAAGAAAGTAAAAACTAAATCCAAGAGATGTGACTATCCACTTTATAAGTATCTCCCCAAAACCACCATATTGTTCACACAAGACACATGTAAACTGAAATTTCTACAATATTCATCATTAATTTGAAATACTCACATACTAGCATGAATGCAAGATATGTTTTATTTAAAGGGTCCAATAAGCATTGTGCTTGGTGGAGGAAGCCACAATGAGATTTCAATTTAGCTTATTCCATTAAAATACAAAGACAGGAATGAAAGAATTTTTTAGATAGGCATAGAGAGTATAGAATGTGCTGCATAGAGAATTACTTACCCTTTGCTGGCAGATCCATTTTATTTCAATGTTAAACCCTACATCTTCTGGCAAAGACTCTAAAACCTACAGTTTTGTTTGTTGGTAAATTTTGTTTTTGATGAGATGGATAGCAGAATAAGAAAACAAAAAAAATACAATTATTACTAAAAATAATAAGAATTTATCATTAGTAGCAATAAAATGTTTTGTGCATAATGCACAAACATATTTTGTCATACTCAAAGTGACAACCTGGTAGATGATTATGTTAAATAAGGTCAAAAGAAATTAAGCAGCAAAAGCAGGAGTCTCAGGCACTGTCTGTGATAACTGACAAACACAAAGATGGTCCTTAACCTCAAATCCTTTTCGCCATTACTAGTAAACATCCAAAGTGAACTCTAACACAATAGGCAACATCATGAATTCAAGACATTTGTCATGTATTCTACACTGCATTTGGGGATGTCAATCTACTTGCCTAAAATCTATGAAAAACCATGATGTTTAGATTGTTTTGAAGGTGATGATGCTAAACAAATCCCATAACTTCCTGAAAAGATGTATCCCCAAAATGAAAACATTATGCTACAGCTCATAAATCAAAAAAGTTATAATTTATATAAATGACAAATGCTATCAGTGTATCTAAACTAAATTATCTAGACACTTTGCCATCAGATTATTTTGGCAGTTTTAACTAGAAAATGACATTGAAAATATGAAACTTGGTTAGTAACCTCCAAAGAACGGACTTGTTCAGTCTTAAACAAACATGAAGCCCAGACATATACATAAATATGCTCAGGGCAAAATGAATTTGACAGAGATTATGTTATATTATTATTATTTTTGAGGCATAGTCTCACTCTGTCACCCAGGCTGGAGCACAGTGGCACAATCTCAGTTCACTGCAACCTCCACCTCTGGGGTTCAAGCAATTCTCCTGCCTCAGCCTCCCAAGTAGCTGGGATTACAGGTGCCTGCCACCACGCCTGGCTAATTTTTTGTATTTTAGTAGTGATGGGTTTCACCATGTTGACTAGGCCAGTCTGAAACTCCTGACCTCAGGTGATCCACCTGCCTTGGCCTCCAGAAGTGCTGGGATTACAGGCGTGAGCCACTGTGCCCGGCAGATTATTTTAGATACTTCAAAATTTTAGGTATCAAAGAACATGTATAGCACATATGGTATTTAATTTTTAACAGCAAATAAATGCATACAAACAGAATAATATAGTGGTAAGAACACAGCCCAGGAGTCTGGTGACCTGGCATCTAGCTCTGGGCCTACTCTTAACCAGCTGCATGTAAAGTACAGCATCTAAAACAGTTTGTATTCAATTTTGTGTGGGACTTTTTTAATTTTCTCCTATATCTAAAGACTTATTTAACGTATCTGTCATATTTTTGCTGGACTAATGCAAAATGAGAAAGACTAGGACAATATATTAGTGTTGAGATTGCTAAAAGGCAAATTTGCCAGAAAAGTGTCTATATAATGAGATTATATTTGGTATTATTTTGGCGTTAAAATTTCTTTTTTTTTTTTTTGAGACGGAGTCTCGCTCTGTCATCCAGGCTGGAGTGCAGTGGCGCGATCTCGGCTCACTGCAAGCTCCGCCTCCTGAGTTCACGCCATTCTGCTGCCTCAGCCTCCCGAGTAGCTGGGACTACAGGCACCCGCCACCACACCAGGCTAATTTTTTATTTTTAATAGAGACGGGGTTTCACATGTTAGCCAGGATGATCTTGATCCCCTGACCTCGTGATCCACCTGCCTCGGCCTCCCAAAGTGCTGGGATTACAGGCGTAAGCCACCACGCCTGGCCAAAATTTCTTTGTGATTGAATTATAATGGCAAAGTGAGTAAATGAGTTTGCGTGTGTGTTTTAACTTATTTGACTAAAAGGCTGTCAAACCTGTATCACAATTTAAAATTTTTTTCCTGGGAATCATGAGATTTCTAAAACACAAATGATTTTAGAAAATTGAATTAGAAGAAATGATCTTACTTAGATGGGCTTCATAAGTACCTTAAAAGTTATACAAATTACATTTTACTTATTTATTTATTTTTGAGACAGGATCTCTCTCTGTTGCCCAGGCTGGAGTGCAGTGGCACAATCACAGCTCACTGCAGCCTCAACCTCCTGAGCTTAAACTGTCTGCCTGCCCTGGCCTCCCAAAGTGCTGGGATTACAGGAATGAGCCACCATGTCCCGCCAAAAATGATGTTTTAAATGCACTAGGATAATGTTCATTGCAGGGGCTCTCTTTTAGCATCCTTTTTGCAGAATGAATAATCAATACTTAATTTACCTTTAACCACTGAGATTTTAATGATTTAGATTGTTTTATGAACCCCTCAAGAAATACATACCTAAATATTTTAACAAAATCTTCATTATGGTCACTTCTCTCCTTTCTAAATCACACACACATTTCCATGCACGTGTTAGCAAGTAGCTAATACAGTAGATAAAACCCATTAAGCTAATAAGCTCCACTCCCCAAATAAGAATTTCCACATAATAGTAAACTAAAACTACCTATTTTTGCCTAAGAAATCTACTATACCTGACACGAGCAGAAAAAGACAACGAGAAAGACCAGAATTTAGAAACTGGAGTCGGTGGAACAAAAGCAGAGCCAGCATCTCCTTGGCATCTGTGTGGGCTTTCCTGATGCTGTCAAGGGTGTTCCCGTATTAAATTGTATCTAGTTTTTAAGTCTTCATGCTAGTTTTTGTGTGAAGATCTATTTTTTCAGAGTGAATTTCTGAAATTTCAATATCATCTTAAGTAAGAGGGGCACTTATTTTCTTTGGTTGAAGAAACTCGCTTCCCTCTCAAAACTAAGGAACAGTTTAAAATATTGTTAAAAAAAAAAAACCAAAAACTGCCTCTCCCACCATCACCTTTCTCTAACTCCTATACCTGTGCCCTCTCCTTCCCATTTATAAACAGAAATATATGGATTTGCTACTCTTACCAAATTACCATACTGAGATGGGAATTTTTATTTATTTGAATAGAAGTTACTCTTGGGGAAAGAAAAAAAGTAGCACAAGTATACTACACAAGAATGAATCTTATTGGCTGGGTGTGTTGGCTCATGCCTGTATTCTCAACCCTTGGGGAGGCTGAGGCTGGGGGACAGCGTAAGTCCAGAGGTTTGAATTCCCTTGAGACCAGCCTGCGCAACAAGGTGAGACCATCTCTACAAAAAAATAAAAAAATTAGCCAGGCATGGTGGTGCACAACTGCAGTTCCAGCTATTTGAGAGACTGAGTGAGGTGGGAGGATCGCTTGAGCCAAGGAAGTTGAGGCTGCAGTGAGCCCTGATCACGCCACTGCACTCAGCCTAGATGTCAAAGTGGGATTGTCACTCACACACACACACACAAACACACAAAGTATCTTCTCTAAAAGGCACCAATGATGATAAATTCATATTAACATTGTCTTTAACACAGCCTTTTTAGGATCCTTTTAAGAAACAAAAGTAAATTATTCATACATGACAAAGTTAATGATAGCCTTGCCTTGGTTTTCCTCAATAACTTACCATCTTAAGAGAAGGAAATGGCTGATTTTCTGAAAAGGAATTTTCCTCCTGAACCACAGATTCTGAAATTTTAAAACACAAAATCTCAGTAAATAAAATGCCACTATATCACTAAGAGCTTTCTTAAATCCTTAGTGCCAAAAAAAACAGGGAAAGAGAGAGAGAGTGTGTGTGTGAGCAAGCGCGAGAGCATAAGTAACTCTGAGATCCCTTTTTTTTTTTTTAATAGAGGTAGGGTCTCACTCTGTCATCTAGGCTGGAACACAGTGGAATGATCATTGCTCAATGTAGCCTCAAACTCAAGCAGGCTCAAGCATTGATCCTCCAGCCTCAGACTCCCGAGTAGCTATGCCCATAGACATGCACTACCACATCCAGCTCATTTTAAAAATTTTTTTGTAGAAATGAGGTCTAGTTGCTCAGGCTGATCTTGAACTCCTGGCCTCAAGCAATTCTCCCAACTTGGCTTCCAAAACTGCTGGGATTACAGGAGTGAGCCACCGTGTCCAGCCCCTATATATAGTATTTTTTAAAGGCTCTTGTATGTATTAAACATCAAAAACCCATTTTCTAAATAAGCATCATGAAAACCAGTTTGCAACGATTAATAGACACCAGTCTGTAGACCCAAGAGTGATTATTTTCTTATAAAATTTGTACTAAAGTACTACTCTTTAAAAAGTAGTCACAAGCTGTGATTTTGCTATTTCTCCAGAGAATTAAGAGTTGTGTGATTTTGCTAAGACTACTATTTGAAATACTAAAATCAGCTCAGAAATTACAAATTAAGAGAATATACAGCAACTATTGTGCTTTTGTTATTATCAATTAATCAATATAGACTAAAAAAAAGAATTATTTTCCAAAAGTGGAAAAAATTAAAATATCAAGTTTTTCTTAAAAACACACATACAAAACCTGTATTACAAATTCAAAGACAAAATCATGTATAATTTTCCAGCAGAATAAACTAAAGGTAAAATTCATTTTATTACTAAGACTCATAAAATATCTATAAGCCTATATAGTTACGTTTATGCTCTGGGTGGGGATAATCTTTGGTCTTAAGCACTTCACAATCTTTATAAAGATATTAAAACTGTATGGTTATCACAATTACAGATAAACACCTATATCTATAGTACACCTACTATATGTACAGCACCATCAGTCTCTGGGAATATAAAAACATTTTCCTACCCCTGAGGGGCTAACACTCTAGTTGAAAAGACAGGACATATATGAAAATAAAGGATTTAAAATGAATACAATAAGCCTCATATGAATGGCACAGCCATTAATTTCTATGGGAGTAGAAAAGTGAAGTGAAATTATAAAGGGATGTGGTAGGCAGGACAAAGCTTGCCCACGGTCATAACAGGTAAATGAAGAGCTGGTTCAAATTGACCCTGTAGCCGGATTCTATAGTTGATTTACTTTCTACTTTGTAATGGTTAAGAATGTTTGGAAAGATTGATAAGTATTAACACTTTGATCATCAAGCTAAGAAAAGCAATGCAATGGTTACTATACACATGATATATATTTAGTAGAAAACAAATGCAAATTCATTTCCGAACTATAAAATTACATTTAGAAGGCCCAGTATTATACTCATAAAAATGACCAAGTATCAAGTATGTGCTAAAATCGATTTTAAAAATCCTATTAATGCTAACTACAAAAGGAAAACAGTGTTTCCATATTGGTACATACCTTTCCGATCCTTAGATTTCAGTGCAGTCACATGAGTGAGCTAGAAAGCACACAAACAAAATGAAATCAGAAAGGAAGCCTTAGCTTATGAAGAGATGGTTAACAGAAAATATCCTGAAAAACTAGCAAGATAAAAAAGCCTATAAAACGTAGAACTATCAGTTTAATAAGAATAAGCACTAGCCACTATATATATTTTATATGTGCATACACATTTAAGATAATGATCAAATACTCAATTAGGGAAGAATATAAAAATTCTTCACTAGATAACTGTTAATAGGGAATCATGCATTTATTTAGGTTCCTAATAGGGACAGGAAGAGGTACCATGTAAAATTACATGATACAAAATATTCAAAGGTATTGGAAATTAACATATATTTACCAACTATTGCATAAAAGGCCTATTGTAAAATAATGACCATTATATGAAGAAGGGCTACTGCAGAACAGAAGCAACCTAAAGATTATGAATGAGAAGGGCTAGCCACTATGGCCTACAAAAACTTATGGTCTAGTTCGTTCCTTCATAAATACAAAAACCAGTGGGGTCCATGGAAATGGTTGGAGAAGACAGCTGGATCGATACAGAACCCTTCTCCCAAACAGAACAGAATACCAAAGCACATAGTCTACACATTAAATTTAACAGTCATCCCCATGTGCAAAGAGAACATAACCATATACAAGCAAGTACAATAGTCCTAAAGCTAAGGGATAATTTACATTTCATGTTATTATTACTACCTTTAACAACTGGAGTTGGTCAAATGTTAATTCTTTTACTGGAATTTCAAATAATTCAACTGGATCAGCATCAAATTTCTAAAAAAAAAAAAAAAAGAAAGAAAGAAAAAGAAAGAATAAAGAAAATTAAGAGAAAAGTAAGCCCTAAATTATTACTGAATGCTTACACTAGACAGGCCTAGCAACTCTATTTACTCAACAATGAGAATAACTGTTAGTAGCCATACTGAGCCCATGCAGGACAGCCCTTCTAACCTAACACCACCTCCCAGCCCTTATATTCTGGCTTTCATTTTTATTGCAGTGTAGAATACCTGGAAGGAAAATGCAGCTGGCAGAAAGCTGTAGCGCTGAAGACAGCTGAGGATAGAACCAGAAGTCAGTCATCTCCCCTACTTCCTGTTATGCTGTCTATACATTTTCTTTGATACTTATCCATACTACGTGACTAGAAATCAATATGAAAGTACTATATAAAATTTATTTCTGTAAGTTTCTAATCTTTTCGAAGACTTTTAAACATCTGATTAAAAACAGCAGACACACCAAATGTCATGAAAAAATTGTCTGATTAGCTATAAACCATAATACTTAAGCACTCTGAGCTACCATGTTTCCCCCACAAGCAAATCTGTTGTATTAGGTTTTAATGTCTATCAAATGATCAATGTCACTCTGTTGAAGGCACTTCTACAGGAAATGAATTAAGGTATCACCAATAAATCATCTGTCCAACAAATATACTTAGTATATATATATATATACTTAGTATATATATATACTAAAATCCATCACATATATATTCATTCATATGCATTGGTATGAACCTGTACATGCATAAAGTTTTTCTGGAATACACAAGAAACTATTAAAAGTAAGACAGTAAGAACAAGGAAAAACAGGAAAGATTTATTTCTCATTTCATAATCTTCTGAAATACTTTTTTTTTTTCTAATGAAGATGAATTGTTTTTATAAGAAAAACACCAGCTTAAAAATCAAAATTCAGTATAAAAGTTCATTGCTTTCATTTCTCAATTAACTCATTCAGGTTCAACTTCAGATCAAGATATAGCCTGGTGAAAATGGGGCATTAGTAATATTTGAACTCTCATTGATTTTCAGAAGTAAACTGTAGCTTGGCCGGGTGCAGTGGCTCACATCTGTAATCCCAGCACTTTGGGAGGCTGAGATGGGCGGATCACCTGAGGTCAAGAGTTTGAGACCAGCCTGGCCAACATGGTGAAGCCCCGTCTCTACTAAAAAATACAAAAATTAGTTGGGCTTGGTCCAGCTACTTAGGAGTCTGCAGTCCTAGCTACTTAGGAGGCTGAGGCAGGAGAATCGCTTGAACCCAGGAGGTGGAGGTTGAGCCAAGATCACATCACTGCACTCCAGCCTAGGCAACAGAGCGAGACTCGGTCTCAAATAAATAAATAAATAAATTGCAGCTAGATCAATTAATCTCAATCTTGGCTAATAAGATCATTTATCACTTCACTCTTTCTCATTTATCTTTTCATTAATGTTCTTCCATGACTAAAACAACCTGTTCCATGTGTTTGGTCACTCTACTCATGTAATCTGAATAGATGCACCTCCTTCCTTTCCTCCCTTCCTCCCCTCCCCTCCCCTTCCTTCCTTTCTTCCTTCTTTCTCCTAATACCATTTCGCAGAAACAAAAGGGTCCTTTCCTATACATAATATATACATCATAATAATCCAACCCCTAGGAACTCTGATTAAAATTCACCAGCAGGTGGTGCCAGGGTCTTTGTCACACTCTTTAATACAACAGACAGTATCTGGTACAGTGATGCTAGCCAACTAGACTAACTTTAAATCAACTCAGTTGGAAATTAATACCCAACACAGTTTTAGAGTCTAAGTCCCCGAGAAATCACTTGGTTACATAGTATACTGACGTTTAGGGACTATATCATTATCATGATTATGTTTGTACAAAAACAATTACAGTTTTTTTACAGCTATGTAAGTTTTTAAATCTCATTCTGGATCCCCCCCCGCCATTATGCCCTCTTCTCCATTCTTCTGGTCCCCTACTCCAATTCAGGCTTACCTTTCCTGTAGCCCACATTGCTGCTCGCCCTGCCTGCAGTCTCTGTCCTCTGAAATTCCTATTTCATCAGCTACCAAAACATTAGTCTTGAACATTTCCCTTTTCAGCTAAAAAGTATTTCCTACCCCCCTAGTTCTTGAGTCTAAACCTCTTCACTGAGGCCCTCCACCATCTAACTCCAAACCTCTTTTTGAATTTTTCACTGTGGCTCACTAGCCTTATTAATTGAAGAAGCTTGAAGCAGAAACAGCTGGAATCCTAGAAAACAAACACTATGATATCTTCCTCTCTTGCCTCAATATAGTAGCATAGACAGACCGCTACAGAAACCACCTGGAATGTCCCTTTTTTGTAACATAATAAAGTATTTTCAGCAATAGAGACCCTACTCTAGGAAGGCAGTATTCCCAACTCATCACTGTCTCAATGTTGCAAGAGCATGAGAGGGAAGGACTGGCAGTAATTCACCAAGAAAATGAATTAACCAATTCTATTTAATAAGTAATTAAAAATATAAAAAAACTTCCTAGTTTTTAAACCTTTTACTTAACATTAAGAGTTTGAAATGAAGAAATTTCAACGTACCTTTTTCATAGTCAAACAACAGGTAAGATCATGATATACCACGGGCACAAAGTCCTTTGAAAGGTGTACGTCAAATTCTACAAAGGCTGCACCCTGACAGAAGGAAGCAAGTATTTGAAAAACATTGCCTGGTACACAGTACCTCTCAAACTGCAAGAACGTAAGAAATTTTTGTTCACTATAAAATTACAGACCTGTACAAACTTTTTCTAAAAAGTAATGTATTCTCTTAAAACAATGGGTTTTCTCTTTTGCAAAAGCACAGCTACTTTTTCCTGGCAAAAAAAAAAAAAAAAAAAAACGGACACAGATTCACTTCAAAACACTCAGAGGCACCGCAGTGGCAGTGAGACAGCCTTCGGGGCTGTTACTTCTGCAACTGCTATTGGCAGAAAAGGAACCCAACAAAAGCCCCAAGCTCAGGGATCCCACACATTGCTGCCCACTGCCCCTGCAAACCTTAGCTGCACAGCTAACATGAAAGATTCAGTGAGGGAAGGAATAAGCTGCAAAGTGCCTTAGCTCGGCTCCTTAGGGCACCTGAGCAGTCCACTGTACAGCCTTTCTCAGCAAAATGTCAGTACGGAATGAAAGAGGAAGCCATAACTGCTGATGAACAGACAGAGACAACAGAAACAGGAAAAAGATGATGCTCATGTCCGGTTTCCTAATGAAAGCCAAACAAATGAGGAAGACATGAATTATAGTTAAAGCCAAATTTCTAAAAAGCAGATCCACACAGAAGGAGCAGGACTGAAATTAATTTAAAGAAAAAAAGAAAGAAAGAAAGAAAAAGGCAGATCCACTCACCCCTATGAATTAATTCAGTTAAAGTCTGTATGTCATAAACTGACATACAAATATGTACCTTTTCTGAAAGGCCAGCTGCGATAGAAGGAAGCAAGGTTTGAAAATTCTGTAACACTACTTTACTGAAAAGATGGGTGCATTTCTACCCCTTACACTGGCTCTAAATTGTCAAGGGGTAGAACTCAACTTGGGAATACACATGGATCACAGACTAGAGTCAAAGGAGTTCAAGAGTCTGGCGAGGAAGCCTACTTCCTTGCAGACTTCCGAAGCGGGAAACTTAGCACCTCTTATTTTAAACAAGACAATACCAAAACCCTTTCTACCAAAGAGGACAAACCCTACCATTCCCAAGTAGTTCTAACTATTAAACATTTTAAGTTGTAGCTTTCTAATTTTTTTGGTTTTAGACAACCATAATCCTTATAGAAAATAATTTTAGTAGAAGACAAAACTTAATCCCAAAATTCATCATGAGGTTTAAGTAATAAGCCAATAACAGACCGAAACATCTTCATAGATATGTATTTAACATTAAAATAAGCCAATAATAATTAAAATAACACATCTGAAAATGTGATCCCTGTGAGTTATAAAGGATTTCATTAGAATATGGAAGAAAAAGGCTTAATGAAATCCTCTCTCAAAAAGCACATATCTAAAAATTATTGGCAGGGTGCAGTGGCTCACGCCTATAATGCCAGCACTTTGGGAGGCTGAGGCAGTCAGATCACCTGAGGTAAGAAGTTCAAGACCAGCCTGGCCAACATGGCGAAACCCCATCTCTACTAAAATTACAAAAATTAGCTGGGCATGGTGGCAAACGCCTGTAATCTCAGCTACTCGGGAGGCTGAAACTGGAGAATCGCTTGAACCTAGGAGGTGGAGGTTGCAGTGAACCAAGATCATGCCACTGCACTCCAGCCTGAGTGACAGAACAAAACTCCATCTCAAAAAAAAAAAAAATTTAACAGGGTCATCACACCGGCATGATGGTTCATGCCTGTAATCTTAGCACTTAGGGAGGCCAAGTGAGGGGATCGCTTGAGCCCACAAGTTCGAAACCAGTCTGAGCAACATAGTGAGATCCCGTCTCTACAAAAAATACAACAATTAGCCAGGTATGATGACACATGCCTGTGGTCCCAGCTACTTGAGAGGCCAAAGCAGGAGGATCATTTGAGCCCAGGAGGTTGAGGCTATAGTGAGCTATGATCCTGCCACTGCACTCCAGCCTGGGTGACGAAGCCATCACGTTTATAGCTAATGAAATGATGTTTAGACTAGCTATGACAGTAAAACTGGTTCCAAATTAATTATAAACTATAGCCTAATAATATTAATAAATATCATATTTTCAACAGAAAGATAAAACAATCTACTAACATTTTAAACATTAAAATTATGATCAATTCAAGATGTCATGAATTTTAAAATGCATTATTTTATATACCACTAAGAGGGGGAAATAAGCTGTCAATTAAATTATGACTCAAAGCTAAGTTGTAAACCCATTCCAATTTCCAAGAGGCTAAAATATTTTAAAAGTACACCTTAGAATAGATGTTAGTTCATATAAGTAATAAAGCTAAACACTGACTAACCAAGTTTACTTCCCGAACTATTTTTTACAAGGCAAAGTTGAGGGCATATGGAGTACACTGTGGAAAAAGTGGAAATTAAAAAATGAGATGTTCCTCCATTTTCCCCCTAGTTTCACTTTGGAATGTGAGGCGGTCCAGACAAGTACAGAGGAATAGGGGAGAAAAATCTCAGGTTATTGATTAAAAATGTCCAAGTTGCAGTTGCTGAAAATACTAACAGCTAAAAAACAGACTCTAACTGGATTAAAAAAAAAAATAAGGAGTTAAGGAAGACAAGTTGGTATGCAAGGGTGGAAACTGATACTTTTTTATTTATTTATTTTTTAAAAGAGATAGAGTCCAATTCTGTCACCCAGGCTGGAGTGCACTGGACGGATCATAGCTCATTGTAGCCTCAAACTCCTGGGCTCCAGCAAAGCTCCAGCCTCAGACTCCCAAGTAGGTGGGACTATAGGTATGAGCCACCACACTCAGCTGATACACTTCTTTCAAGTGTTACATAAAATCACCATCAAATCTTTCCTTCTTTTTTTTTTTTTGAGACTGAGTCTCACTCTGTCATCCAGGCTGGAAAACGGTGGCATGATCTCAGCTCACAGCAACCTCCACCTCCCAGATTCAAGCAATTCTTGAATTGCCTCAGTCTCCCAAGTAGCTGGGATAACAGGCGCGGGCCACCATGCCAGGTTAATTTTTTGTATTTTTAGTACAGGCTGGGTTTCACCATGTTGGCCAGGCTGGTCTTGAACTCCCAACCTCAGGTGATCTGCCCATCTCGGCCTCCCAAAGTGCTGGGATTACAGGCATCAGCCACTGTGCCCAGCCAGCATTCTTTTTTGAGATAATAAATTTTGAGTAATTGAGACAAAAGAAAGTTCCCACTAAGCATTGGTTTTCACTACCTGAATAATGTGCTTATTCAGATACTCACTTTGGAAAAAATGCCTTTAGAAAGATTTGAGCCCAGGAGTTTGAAACAAGCCTGAGCAACATAGTGAGACCCTGAATCTACAAAAGAGAAAAAAATTTAAAAATTAGCCAGGCATGGTGGCACATGCCTCTAGTCCCACTACTACGGAGGCTGAGGTGGGAGGAATGCCTGAGCCCAGGAGGTTGAGGCTGCAGTGAGCCATGTTCGCACCACTGCATTCCAGGCCCAGGTGACAGAACAAGACCCTGTCTCAAAAAAAAAGAAAAGATGCTTATGGTTCTATTGTCTTCATTCCGATCTTCACCATGGATCTGAATATAAATGCCAAGAGATATTCCCCTAACTATTAATAAAAACTGGAGGAGACTCCCTGATCCATATTTCTCTACCTCAGCAGTCTAAAGTTGTTTAAAGGTTACTTACATGACTAGCAGCATTTCTTAAAGAAGCAATAGTATTTTCTTGAACTTTAGCCAGCCTGAAAAGAAGAAATACAGTTAACATAGACTATAGAGAAGATAAAGAAACAAATGTAATAAAGAAGCAAAGTGTACTTTCAACAATGGGAAATGGTACTTATTCTGTATTCTGAGGCCAGTTTTGACATCCCCAAAATATGACTATGGCTGTGACTAGGAATTTATTCCTTAAATGCAAGCTCTGACAATGATAGATATTTACAAGCTGAATACCGACATGGCCAACACAACATGCACTTGCCTTGTACCATGGACTTTTTTCTTGGAGACATGTAAAGTGATCAATAAAAACAATCCTTTTCAATGGCAGAAGAAATAGAGACATAGAAACCTGCTCCTTGCAATACAGCCTCCAAAGGACTTAATACTGGCAGACTGTGGGGGAATGAGAAACAACTGACACACACACAGGATAGAAGTATGGAAACTCTATTCATAATAAGAACAGAAAGGGGGAAAATGTATTGTTTAAGATGGGGCCTGAGAAGTTGCGGTGGCTCACGCCTGTAACCCCAGCACTTTGGGAGGCTGAGGCAGGCAGATCACTTGAGCTCAGGAGTTCAAGACTGGCCTGGGCAACAAGGTGAGACCCGGTCTCTACAGAAAAATACCAAAAAAATAGCTGGGCATGGTACCACGTGCCTGTGGTTCCAGACACTGGGGAGACTGAGGTGGGAGAATGGCTTGAGCTCCGGAAATTAAGGCTGCAGTGAGCCAAGAATGTGCCACTGCACTCCAGCCTGAACGACAGAGACTCTGTCTCAAAAACAAACAAATAAAAAAGGTGGGGGCAGGTGAGGGTGCTTCTTCCTTAAATAGTTATTTTTTTATAGACCTTAAAATTAAAAAATCCTAATGATCTCCACAGCATCACTTTAAAATAAAATGGGGAGGGATTAAAATTTACAGTAGAAAATCTGTGGCATGAGCTATCGCACTGGTAATTAAATAAACTTACAAAAGTAGAAGGGGAAGACAACTATTCCAGGCTACAATCTAATGTCTGTTGAGAAGACAGAGCATCTTTCGTTGAGGTCCAAGTTAACTAATATTCCTTGAGTTTAGTCACACTTTTCTAGACTTGGGATAATGTTGTCCAAATCTTTGCATTTTATAGATGCGGAAACTCAGACTCAGAGAGGGCAACACGTCAAAAGTAAGGACCATGACACAGACACACACACTGATGCTCCCAAAGCTTTCTGCACCAAGCTTTCCTTCCTGCCTTTCTACTTTTAATGTCTTCCTCCTTATCAATTCAGTAGATATATTAAAAAACTGACCAGAATCTTAAGGTTGGTCTCTAACCCCAATTACCAAATTACACTAAATTCCCTTGGTAAATAATAAAAACATCATTTGACCTTTGCTGAGAAAACCAGTGTAACTCTACCGAACATAAGCTACACCAAATGCTAATCCTACTCAAATATTCAACTTACTGGGCAGTTGTTGTAGAGTTTCCTGCACCTCGATGGCCAACATCCAATGGTATTCTTGGCTTCCAATACTTGGAAAATGAAGATTTCATGTCACAACTGTATCCTGGTAATGGCTTAATAATTATATAGTCAACTTTCATAGGAAAAAAGAGGGAGGAACAAAAATAAAAATGATTAAAAGGGCCATTATGAGCTACATTATATTTAAATACCACTCAAGTCAGCTTTATCAGTTTCTGTCAAACGGAAAAAAAAACAAGATTCAAAATGTAACAGACATGCTCCTTAAATTGATACTAAAGCAAATTATTAATTTCATCTTTATCATTATCAAATACTTAATTTGAAACTAATTAAAATTCTAACTTAACCTTGGGTTATTTGGCAGTGTCTTCAACCTTACCTCTCACTTTGCCTATTGTTTTCCGGGAATTTCTGCTCATGATGGGAAGAGTAAGAATTCCAGCACTCTTTCCACTCTCAGCAATGGTGGATGATAAGAGACAAGCTGTACCCACATGTCCAGGAAGGGCATCACCCTGAACTACGTGCTCACTGAGATCTTCCTGAAAAAATGAGATTTAAAATAATCTTAATTTTTAAACTTCTACATTACATACATACATATACACACACACACACACACACAGACACACACACACATATCTCCTATATATGAAATGTGTATATATATATTTTTTTTTTCATAAAAACTTCAGTATTTTCGGCCGGGGTCAGTGGCTCACGTCTGTAATCCCAGCACTTTGGGATGCTGACGCAGGCAGATCACAAGGTCAGGAGTTTGATACTAGTCTGGCTAACATAGTGAAACCCCGTTTCTACTAAAAATACAAAAAATTAGCCGGGGATGGTGGCGCATGCCAGTAGTCCCAGCTACTCGGGAGGCTAATGCAGGAGAAACACTTGAACCCGGGAGGTGGAGGCTGTGGTAAGCTGAGATCGTACCACTGCACTCCAGCCTGGACAACAGAGCAACACTCCATCTCAAAAAAAAAAAAAAAAAAAAATTCAACATTTTCAATTTAAAGATCAAAAAGCTCACAAAGTCAACTGAGAATCTCTGGGGTAGAACTGATAAGAGATACAATCAAATTTATATTCATGTGACTTGATGGCTTCTCTATGATTAAATACATTTTCTTTGTACATTTTAAAATATATATTTTTTTGAGAGAGTCTCATTCAGTATAAGCACTGCTCGAAAATTTCTAATCACTTTTATGTTGTTGTAAGACTAAGATATATTTGTAGTGAATTTTTAACATATTCTCTAAAAATGTTTCTACACAAGTGTCACATGGGATAGGAACTCTCTAGGAAACCAAATACTATACTCACTTTGAGATTACACTGGATATTTTATCAGCCTAGTCTATGAACAAAACACTATTACAAAAAATGTTAAACAAAGTAAAGGGAAGGTAGGACATTCAAGATATAATTTATTAAAAGGTAGGTTTATTAAAAGGAAGCAACAAGAAAATGTTCAGGCCAGGAGCAGAGGCTCACACCTGCAATCTCAGCACTTTGAGGGGCCGAGGCAGGAGGATCGCTTGAGCCCAGGAGTTCAAGACCAGCCTGGGCAACAAAGACCCCATCTCAACAACAAAAAAAAAGTTGTTTTTTTTTTTGTTTTTTTTTTTTTTTCTGAGATGGAGTCTTGCTCTGTCACTCAGGCTGGAGTGCAGTGGTGTGATCTTGGCTCACTGCAACCTCCGCCTCCCAGGTTCAAGCAATTCTCCTGCCTCAGCCTCTCGAGTAGCTGGGATTACAGTCACGCGCCAACACGCCTGGCTAATTTTTGTATTCTTACTCTTGACCTCGTGATCCGCCTGCTTTGGCCTCCCAAAGTGCTGGGATTACAAGCATGAGCCACCGCGCCCGGCCAAAAACGTTTTTTTTAAATTAGCTGGGTGTGGTGGTACACACCTGTAGTCCCAGCTACTTGAGAGGCTGAGGCATGAGGATCACTTGCACCCAGGAGATTGAGGCTGCAGTGAGCCCTGATCATGTCACTATACTCCAGACTGCGCAACAGAGCAAGACCCTCTCTCCAGAAAAAAAAAAAAAAGGAAAAGAAGAAAGGAAAGAAAAAGAAAGAAAGAAGTCATCAAAATTTCATACTTTTATAATAGAGTCCCACAGATCTTACTGCTTACTGGATTAGATTTTTTTAAATCCATTCTGAATTCTGTTGTTCTCAAGAAACTGGCTGGGGGCTACTGGTGGTCAAGACATATTCCCTACCCTCCAAGATTTAAACTCTAATCTAGTATAAATGGGTGTGGAGGTGGAGCTAGAGGGTAAGGAAACCACTACATACCACTACCGAGCCAGGCCCACAGCAGTAAGGACCTTAGGGGATGTACCAAGTATTATGTGTTGGGGAAATATGAACAGCCAGTGGTCTACAAGCACTAGTGTAAGTATCACATGTAGCTCCAGAAAGTTAGCAGCACAGATTGTCAATAACCTGGCACAAGCTTTATAATTTCATTACATATTTACAATATCAAGTTGCAAGTCAGTCCCATCAACAAATCCTAATAAAGTACCTCAATAAATGACAGGCTTCCATCATAGTGAGAACTCAATCACGCTTGTTACATCGGGATGCCCGCCAAGAGGTACAAAGCCTGCCCTGGTCTCTATTTACCACTGATGTTTCCTTTGGATACAATTCATTTACATTTAGATTATTTAGCATACAGGCATCAAAGACATCTGGTCTTGATTGGAAACATCAATACTGCTGTTCTCTTAATTATATTCTTAATAGTACTTGAAGATGACAACTCTAAGTTTTTTAAGCTTAACTGTACAGAAGAGCATACCTCTAAAAAGTTAGCTTTACACAAATTAGATTAAAATGAAAATCAAAACCAACGTTAAAATAAGCTTGTCCCTGCATTCTTTCTCAATCCCCTCACTGCAGTAACTACTCACTTCGAAAAAATCAAAGATTAGTTCCAGGTTATCTGGTTCCATCGTCTGTATGCTGTACTCTGTCCAACGATCAGGCTGCAAGCCATAACCACACTCCGGCTGTGAATGCCTGCACTTGAACTCATTGTCGCTTATTAAGGATATCTCCAAGCTATTGGACATTTTGTGGAGTACAGTGGGAGATACCCTATCATCGTCATCTTCCTCCAGGCCTTCTAGTGTCAGCTTCACCCTACGTAATAAACAAAATAATGAGATGCAAGAAGTGGCAGAAAAGAAAAACTCATACAAATGTTGCCTAAATTCTACATTTTAAAGTGCCCCCAAATATGCTAAATCTTCGAATAACAAAAATAATGTATTATGCAAAGATTACACATACTACAGGTTAAGGAATTAGGTGTGTTTTATAAAATACTGATGTTATTATCTACACATATTTTTGCAAAGTATTAAAATGGGATAAATGACCATTATGCCTACTAAGGTTGTTGATTCTTTCATTAAAAAAAAATAAATAAATCTAGGGCTGGGCCAGTGGCTCACGCCTGTAATCCCAGAACTTTGGGAAGCTGACGCGGGAGGATTGCTTGAGCTCAGAAGTCTGAGACCAGCCTAGGCAACATGGTGAAACCCCATCTGCAAAAAATATAAAAATTATTCAGGCATGTGTCACATGCCTGTAGTCCCAGCTACTCGGGAGGCTGAGGTGGGAGGATCACTTGAGCGTGAGAGGTGGAGGTTGCAGTGAGCCGAGATTGCACCACTGTACTCCAACCTGGGTGACACGGCCAGACCCTCTCTCAAAAGAAAAAATATATATATTATTAAACACATATAATATTCAAAAATTTTTTCCTGTGTGGAAAATTTTTCATTTTCAAGACACAATAAAATTTAGAACACTGAAGAATACTTCCAAAAAATATTTTCTCTTTATGGCATTCTTATGTAGCAGACAATCATTTCCATTATATCAATTTTTTCTTTTTTTGAGACAGAGTCTCGCTCTGCCTGGAATGCAGTGGTGCGATCTCGGCTCACTGCAACTTCCGCCTTCCGGGTTCAAGCGATTCTCCTGCCTCAGCCTCCCAAGCAGCTGGGATTACAGGCGCCCAACAGCATGCCCAGCTAAGTTTTGTATTTTTAGTAGAGACGTGGTTTCACCATGTTGGCCAGTCTGGTCTTGAACTCCCGACCTCAGGTGATCTGCCCACCTCGGCCTCCCAAAGTGCTGGGACTACAGTTGTGAGCCACTGCACCCATTGGCCTCCCAAAGTGCTGGGATTACAGGCGTGAGCCAACACGCCCGACACATTATATCAATTTTACAACAAACTATTGCTACACTATGAAAATTTAAATAGAAACTATAAAAATACATAAGCTTAGAAAACCACTTATCTATATAAACAAATGTTTTCTGGTTCTACATGTAGAAATTAAGACTAACTGCAACAGTAGCAATCTGAGCGGGGATAAGTAGTTCACTATTACAAAGCCCTGTAGTTACTAGAATATGTAACATTATCCCAAACTGTACACTTAAAGGCTAAAACCAATTGAGTCTGAAATCTACAGCACTAGTGAAAACAAATAGCCTAAGTAACACATAAACATGGTCATACCTAAATCTAGATTTTTTTAATTTTTTCTTGGTTATTGACACAGGAGGTTTTTCAGAATAATGCAAACGTAATCTTATTTCAGTCTGACATGTCAGCCATCCAGAATCCAGAGTTTCAACACCATCTGACAGAATAAATATGAAGAACAGTAATTATTATACATGTTTTTTTAAACAACACAATAAGTACCTATAGGCATTGATAATTCTAGTTCACATTCACTTTTTTTTTTTAACCTCCAAAGGAAATACATTTTTTAATGAGATCTAATCCATGATTTGTTTCCTAAACCCCTGCCTAAACCGTTGTTCATATTGCAAACCAAGGGTGACAAAGGTAAAAATCTGAAGGAAAACAATCCTTTCAGCAAATAAGTATTTTTAGAATAACAATAAAAAAAGAATTAACTTTTCCTTTCTAAATATGAAAATAGGCCGGGCGGGCATGGTGGCTCACGCCTGTAATCCCAGCACTTTGGGAGGCCGAGGCAGGCGGATTACGAAGTCAGGAGATTGAGACCATCCTGGCTAACACGGTGAAGCCCCGTCTCTACTACAAATACAAAAAAAATAGCCGGGCGTGGTGGCGGGCGCCTGTAGTCCCAGCTGCTTGGGAGGCTGAGGCAGGAGAATGGCGTGAACCCAGGAGGCAGAGCTTGCAGTGAGCCGAGATCGCACCACTGCACTCCAGCCTGGGCGGCAGAGCGAGACTCCATCTCACAAAAAAAAAAAAAAAGAAAAAGAAAATAATCCCAAAATAATGAATCATTGTGAACAGGCAGATTTAGAATACATATCCCAAAGACCTTCAGAAAAGATCCTGGTTCTATCAATATCATCTTTGAAAAAAATCTAAAAGGAATCAATTCCATTTTTTTTTTTTTTGAGATAGAGTCTTGCTCTGTTGCCCAGGCTAGAGTGCAGTGGCACGATCTCAACTCACTGCAGACTCCACTTCCCAGGTTCAAGAGATTCTCATGCCTCAGCCTCCCAAGTAGCTGGGATTATAGGCGCCCACCATGCCCAGCTGACTTGTATTTTTAGTAGAGACAGGGTGTCACCATGCTGGCCAAGCTGGTCTCAAACTCCTAAACTCCTGACGTCAAGTGATCTGCCTTCCTCAGGCCTCCCAAAGTGCTGGTATTACAGGCATGAGCCACCTCACCCTGCCCACATTCACACTGTAATAATACATTGAGGTTACATAACACTGGTACTCTTCTCCCCAAAGCAAATATACAGGTAGTCTTAAATTCTTCATTAAAATATAACTTTTATATGAAGTAGGGGGAAAAATTAAATGAATATTAATAATTAGCTATACTGTCACAACACAAATAAATTAAAATATTCATATTGAATCCATGACTAAAATAATACAAATCTATTTCAGAAAGAGCACATGGTACAAGATAGCATCTAACCTAGCAATTGTTCTACTAGGGATCACTGTTACACTTCCAAAGCGTCACTTTAGATATTCAGCTGCAACTAGTTATGCCACTAGTGCCGGGGGTGTGAGATATCAGAAGGTAAGAACAGAACTGTGAGTCAGAGCCATATTCTCAAATTTATATATTCTGCCATAAATAAACTGCATGATCGTGACAACACTGTTGGCATTAACTTGAAGCTACTCACCTACTTAACATAGGTAATAAAATGTTCATAAATACCAGAGAAGCTGTCAACTGTTTTGGATCTAAGCTTTTTCATCAACAGAGTCAAAATAAATAAATACCAAGAAACTTCTCTCCTTAGAAATTCTCTCCTAACTTAAGAATGCTTAATAATTGTGGGACTTTAACTTTTTTTTTTTTTTTTTTTTTTTTTTTTTTTTTGCAGAAAAGACAAGTGAGACCATGCATTACAGCTCAAGCAAAAACTACTACTCCAGGCCGGGCGCGGTGGCTCACGCCTGTAATCCCAGCACTTTGGGAGGCCGAGGCGGGCGGATCACGAGGTCAGGAGATCGAGACCATCCTGGCTAACACGGTGAAACCCCGTCTCTACTAAAAATACAAAAAAAATTAGCCGGGCGTGGTAGCGGGCGCCTGTAGTCCCAGCTACTCGGGAGGCTGAGGCAGGAGAATGGCGTGAACCCGGGAGGCGGAGCTTGCAGTGAGCCGAGATCGCGCCACTGCACTCCAGCCTGGGCGACAGAGCGAGACTCCCGTCTCAAAAAAAAAAAAAAAAAAAAAAAAAAAAAAAAACTACTACTCCATAAAGCACTCCAAAACATGTAGTGTAAATATTACTTATGAAGTACTAAAGACTCCAAAACACTTAACACTAAAGCTATTCAAGTACTGTACACTGTTTTCTGATGTAATATAAACAATCCCAAACAAAATCAAGGAAAAGATGTCAAATTCCTATCTAAATACTGCCAGAGCATGTTCATTTCTACCATACATAAACATATATACCTAATAAAAACCACAACCAAAACATTCAGGCCTGTTCTTTCCTGTGCTTAGCAGGAAAGCAAACTGGTTATCAGCAATTTATCTCTGATTCAGAGTCAGTACAAACACAATTCCGCCCACCCGCTTTCCACCTTTTGACTCCTACAGTACAGCATCCAAAATGAGGATGCAGGCTGGGCATGGTGGCTTACGCCTGTAATCCCAACACTTTGGGAGGCCAAGGCAGGCAGATCACTTGAGGTCAGGAGTTTGAGACCAGCCTGACCAATATAGCAAAACCCCATCTCTACTAAAAATACAAAAATTAGCCAGGCGTGATGACACTCACCTATAGTCCCAGCTACTCAGCAGACTGAGGCAGGAGAATTGCTTGAACCCAGCAGGTGGAGGCTGCAGCAAGCGGAGATTGCGCCACTGCATTCCAGCCTGGGTGACAGAGCAAGACTCCATCTCAAAAGAAAAAAAAAAAAAAAGAATGCAGTTTAGTATAATAGCCCTGATACACTGTAAGAATTCCAGCCAGGTGCGGTGGCACACGCCTGTAATCCCAGCACTTTGAGAGGCTGAGGCAGGAGGATCACCTGAAGTCGGGAGTTCAAGACCAGCCTGACCAACATGGAGAAACCCCGTCTCTACTAAAAATACAAAATTAGCTGGGCATGCCTGTAATCCAAGCTACTCAGGAGGCTGAGACAGGAGAATCGCTTGAACCTGGGAGGCAGAGAGTGCGGTGAGCCAAGGTTGTGCCATCGCACTCCAGCCTGGGCAACAGGTGCAAAAACTCCATCTCAAAAAAAAAAAAAAAAAAAAAAAGAATTCCAGTCACCCAGCTGGGCAGTGGCTCACACCTGTAATCCTAGCACTTTGGGAGGCTGAGGTGGGTGGATCACTTGAGGTCAGGAGTTTGACACCAGTCTGGCCAACATGGCAAAACCTCATCTATACTAAAAAAAAATACAAAAATTAGCTGGGCATGGTAGCAGGCGCCTATAATCCCAGCTACTCAGGAGCCTGAGGCAGGAGTATCACTTGAACCTCAGGGTCGGAGGCTGCAGTGAGCCGAGACTGCACCACTGCACTCCAGCCTGGGCGGGTGGGGGTAAGAATTCCAGTCACTGAAGAAAATTAGAATTCTCAGGATATAGTATTTACTAAAACAGAAAGTACACAAATAACATTTTCAACATATTCAGAAGTTAAAGCATTTTCTACTCTATCTCAAACTAACTTTTAAACATTCAGCCAGAATTACTAGAACTCTTTGGTTAGTCTGAATTTTACTGTATATGCAGATATACAAACACACAAAATACACAAACTTAGCCTAAGTGTAACATTTCACACTTTAGATATTTAGAAACATTAATGTAATTTCAAACATAAAAGAGGTAAAAGGCTACATTAGCAGTTCAGTATACTACACACTTTTAATTATATAACATCATATACCTGAAATTGCTAGTCAAATAAAAACCAAAAGGATAACATTTTAAAGTGCAACAATTATATTAGAAACTAATTATTTAACAGTAGGGATTTGTTTTTTGGATCCAGTCTCTATTTTCAAAATCATACTACAGTCATGCATTGCTTAACAATGAAGATAAGTTCTGAGAAATGCACATTAGACGATTTCATTGTTGTTTGTGTAAGTACAGGGAATTTTTCAGCTTCATTATAATCATATGAGACTGCTGCTGCACGTGTGGCCTGTCTTTGACCAAAATATCGTTATGCAGCACATGACTGTATGTTCTATTTTCCTGTGCTATATAACTCCAGTGAAATGTAAAGTAACAATCTCAATCATTTCAGTAAACATTTAAGTAAGTCAGTCTCACTTACTGTGGATTCCAAATTGTCCATCGTCAATAATAATTTCGCTTTCTAGAATTTAAGGAAAATAGAAAATTTAGTTAAAACTCTTGATGCATACCCAGTGAACAACTGAGAAATTACCCACCTTAAAGATCGTTTATAATATTAAATCTACAGCTTAAAAGCAGCCCAAGGTGAATAAGCATATTTATTGTAGCCCTCAATAAAGAATTCCCTTTAAAGGAGGCTAGCAAACAGTAATGGTTCTTACATACTTCGTTGATTGTCCATTATGTTAAAAAGAAGAAAAAGAAAACTCTTCAGAAAGGTGCTCTAGAGGCACTGGGATTAACTTCTACACTAACCAATGTACAAGACTCACAGGTTGCTGGACAACGATAACTCCTTCTTGATTTTCAAACCAAAGGTCTTGGCACAATTAAAATGCTTATTCTTATGTAGTGCATATTCTGAACTTGTCTCAAATGTAATTCTCCTCATATCCCAACTATTCACTACTGCCAGTTAAAAGCTTTACGAACAGCGTGAACTTACCTGTATGTACAGAGCTGTGAGGAACTACCAAAAGAATAAACGCTAGCACAACCCCTTCTCCTAACAGAAATTTCAACTCAATGAGAAAAGCTGTAAAACCCCACCCTTTGAGTAAAATACAATTTATCTTCCTGGCCTACTTCCCTTCCCAGTTTACTTTAAACGTTAGTCTGAAATACTTGCAAAATGGATGTGACAGTTCCTAGTAAAGATTCTCTGGTAAGTTTCACACAGCTTTTAAGTTCAAAAGTTATATTTCTCAAAAGTATACATTCCTTTCTAAAAGATAGAAACAAAATCATCCCACTTCTCATAATAAAATATATTTAACTGCAAGATGCTTTAAAATACAATTTTTTAAAACATTCAATACCTAGTAAGTTCCAACCTCAGTATGGGAATATTATAATTTTAAGTATACTCTCATAAAAATCCTAAATACACTATCAAAAATGTATTAAAACATACAAAAAGAAAATCCAATAAAGAGGATGGAATGAGATACTGTTTAAATGAGATGTGTCCTTACTCCAGGATAAAGCAGAAACTCCCACTGCTTTCTAATTTAAACCAGAAAACTGGCATCCAGTTATCTTTCAATTTTAACTTTACCTAGAAACTAAAAGATACATTTCTCAGCACTGAGTCAATTTACAGATGAATACATGTGGGTAATTTAATGTATGTGAAGTGAACTTCAAATTCGATTTTCAATATGGACTAAGAAATTCAAAAATACTTGTATGAAGAGAAATGCCATATTTAAGCATAAGAAAAGTTAATGTGTTTAAAAGAAAACAACTTACAAAAAAAAAAAGACAAAAAAAAAAAAGAAAACTTTCCAAGTAGCAATTCTAGCATAGCCAATAGGGAATTTAAGAAATTTGAATTCATTCATACAAGTTTATTCAAGTATTTACCAATTTCTCTTAAAAAAATTAAGAAGAAAAGAAAAAATAGAATAACTTACTCTATTAATATTCAAAGTTAAAAATTTAAGAATCTTTGTTTTGGATTAATTTTTTCTTCAAATGTTCGTTAAGCCTGAGCAAGTAAACAAATAGAGCTATGGATGCTCAGTCAAGAAGAATGGTATCTTATAAACTTCCTAACCATTCCAAATGAAAGTGAATATTTCATAATAAACTAATCTAACCCAAGAAAACAAAAATATCTAGGTAAATATTTCTAATAAAGTTTATTTTAAGAGGCAATTAAAAACTGTTGTTTTGAAAGATCCATGAAATGCTCAGTGAAATTTGTAGCACTGACAATGCATTGACCTTAACTTTAGAATAAAAATTTATTAAATCCCACTAAGCCATTGTGCAGCATATTAGTAACTTTATGCATATGCCTCAAACAGATGCAGTTAATGCCCATACCTAAAGGGGTTATTGATCGTGGTTGTAGATGAGTCTCCCACTTGTGAACTATCACTTGACATGGACCACCGATAGTCTGCAATTTAAAAGTTAAACGTCTGCAATAATTTCTTATATCTTATTTTCTACCCATGACTCCATTAGATGTTTGTGGCCTAAATCTTATACTAAATATGAGACCAAAAGATTCATCTTATTATCAATATTATATGCCAAAAGCCTGGAATGTACCAGATCACAAAACAAGATGAAATGCTGGAAGAAAATTAGAGTGAGGCAGTAAACAAAGAAAAATGAGATGAACTGGCACACAGAACTGTCTCAAACCCATTCCTAAATCTGCCTACAATACTCAATTGTTTCAAAGAAATTTTCATTTTTAACTGATATTAATTCTTAAGATAAATATCATATATACTTTCTTTGGTATGTCAGCCATCAATGAGGTATTGCTAGATAAAGTATGTACCTCCTGCTCTATGCATTTAGAAAAAGCCTAAACAAGCCTACAATAGTAAAAATAGTAGGAACAAGTACTCAAGAACAATTATCGCAAGCTACTCAAGGAACTAAAGAACCATAATAAAGTTATTTATTACATATATTTAAGAATACTAAGTGAAAAACAGGAAGATTTCTCATATCATAGGAACCAGTGTTTCTAAAGAACACGGGAAATTCTAGAAGGGACATGTGGCCAGGTAAACTTGAAGAGCAAGTGTGATAAAAGAGGAACTAACATCCGGTTTCATTCTTATGCCTTAGTTTAAAATCTCATACAGTGTGACAATTCCTCATACTGTTTTCCATTATCAAGCTCCCCTACTAAAAAAGAACATAAAGCTATGTGTTGATAACATATGCGGTAGTGAGTAACCATGAAAGATTCCCTGAGTATACCTAAAAGACTAAAATTTAAGTGTTCTAATTTTCCTTTAATTTTTAAAAAGAAACTCACTAGTTATTATGCTGAAATAAAACCCTTAAATACACATTTTGGAAGCACATTTTCAAACTATAATCTTACAAGGTATTTTATTTGTTACATAAATGTAATTAAATACAGAGAAGCAAAAAGAAAATACAAAACTCACCCATATCATACCATTTAGGGATAATCACCATCAAGATTTTCACATATAATCTTTGAGCCCTTTTCTAGGCATTATATTACACATACTCTTTTTTTTTTTTAGACAGAGTCTCACTCTGTCACCCAGGCTAAAGTGCAATGGCACAATCTCGGCTCACTGCACCCTTGCCTCCTGGGTTCAAGTGATTCCCCTGCCTCGGCCTCCTGAGTAGCTGGAATTAAAGGCACGTGCCACCACACCCAGGTAATTTTTGTATTTTTAGTAGAGATGGGGCTTCACCATGTTGGCCAGGCTAGTCTCGAACTCCTAACCTCGTGATCCACCCACCTCAGCCTCCCAATGTGCTGGGATTACAGGTGTGAGCCACTGTGCCCAGCCTATACATACTCTTAAAAAGCCTAGGCATAAAAGCTTCTCTATTATCTTTAGAAGGCATTAATAATGGATTAAAATATTCTCCTACACTTTCTATAGGATTTTAATATTGATTAAATTTGACGATAAGCCAAACAATAACAAATATGTAACAAATTAGGCACATTATTAATTATTAAATGCAATAAATAATCCTGTCACTTAAAATAACCAGGCTAAATTCTTTTCTGAAATCCTCAAACTTCTGAAGTTTAAAAACTAAAATAGCACGATATATTTCTTCAAATCATTACTCCTGGGATACTAAATAAAATTCTCTTTTTCTCTAGCTAAACACTTCCCTGCTATAATAGTTCACCTTAATTGGTAGACTGGGTAGATTTTTTAAAAATGTAATGTGAAATTGCTCTTTTAAAAATATGGTGACTTTCGTATCCATTATACTAAAAAGAAAATCAAATTAATTCTAGATGATGTTTACTATAACATTTTTCCTGAAATATTTTTTAAATGTGTTTTTTAAATATCAAACTTTCTAAACCTCAAAAGTTGCAAATATAGGACAGGCATGGTGGCTCATGCCTATAATCCCAGCGCTTTGGGAGGCCAAGGCAGGTGGATCACTTGAGGTCAGCAGTTTGAGACAAGCCTGGCCAACATAGTGAAACCCCATCTCTACTAAAAATACAAAAATTAGCTAGGTGTGGTGGCACACAACTGTAGTCCCAGCTACATGTGAGGCTGAGGCACGAGAATTGCTTGACCGTGGGAGGCAGAGGTTGCAGTGAGCCAAGATCACACCACTGCACTTCAGCGTGGGCGACAGAGTGAGACTCCTTCTCAAAAAAAAGTCGCAAATACATACATAAAAATAGAAACAGCCTGGGCACAGTGGCTCATGCCTGTAATCCCAGCACTTAGGGAGGCCAAGGCAGGCAGATCACTTGAGGTCAGGAGTTCGAGACCAACCTGGCCAACATGGTGAAACCCCATCTCTACCAAAAATACAAAAATTAGCCAGGCATGGTGGCACACGCCTGTAATCCTAGGTACTTGGGAGGCCAAGGCAGGGGAATCCCATGAATCTGGGAGGCGGAGGCTGCAGTGAGCTGAGATTGCGCCACTGCACTCCAGCCTGGGCGATAGAGCGAGACTATGTCTCAAAAAAGAAAAAGAAAAAAAAAAGAAAAAGAAAAGGGTGCTATGAATATAATATTAAATGTCAAAAAGAGGTAACGGCATAGCAGACTGTTTGTTTTGTTTTAATTCAGATGTCAGGGGAACTTTATAGACTGTTGATAGCAGTATCTTTACTTAATCAAGTAAGAATAATCCTTTGGATTAAATTTGATAGGGAACATATTTCAGTAGCAATTTTAACAACTCCAGTCTCATCTGCCCACTACCCCACTGCATAAAACCACCTAGACTTGAATAGAATAGCATATTTGAGGAACAGTCCAAAGGGCCAGGTAAACTGATGACAGAACTATGTCTATCATCATTCAGACTAGAAATGTACATTGGTTGGTAAACTGTTATAATATAGAAAAAAAAGAACCTAGTTTTAAAATACACTGAATTTCCAAAATTGTTAAGCCTACTTTATTAAACTTTAGAAGGCAATCTTAAATTTTCAGCTTTACTTCTTTAAAAAAAAATTAACAGGCCAGGCGTGGTGGCTCACGCCTGTAATCCCAGCACTTTGGGAGGTCAAAGCGGGTGGATCACCTGAGGTCGGGAGTTAGAGAACAGCCTGACCAACATAGAGAAACCTCATCTCTACTAAAAATACAAAAATTAGCCGGGCATAGTGGTGCATGCCTGTAATCCCAACTACTCGGAAGGCTGATGCAGGAGACTCACTTGAACCTGGGAGGCGGAGGTTGCAATGAGCCATTACACTCCAGCCTGGGCAACAAGAGCGAAACTCCATCTCAAAAAAATAAATAAAAACTAACAACTGAGCACTGGGAAATTCAAAATCTCAGTGATAACCCCAAAACATGCAATCCTTTCATTTATTTTTTAATCCTGGTCTCATTGTACATGCAATACTTTCTAATACATTATCTGTAATAACTTATTCTTTAAGATCTAAGAAAAGGAAACAGTTCTGAAACAAAACATTCTGGAAAAGTCTGCCAAAATTTTAAGCTTTTTGGAGTAACATGGGAGATAGATCTTTGGAGAAAAAAGTAATGATGTCAATCTAAGACAATATTCCATTAACAGTACTGGTAGAGCTATTTCACAATTTAGCATACATAATGTCACACGACTGTAGAAATGTTTCCAAACATGTATATTAACAAAAATATTTTTAAAAATTTCTTCCCACAAGAATAAGTCTTAATGATTGTTTTCTTAAACAGTTACTGACATCACTCAGTTATACCAAGCACTGAAATTTAAATAAGACTATCCAATATGTAGATTGGAAGTTTGTTTTTTAACAAATCACCAAGCAAAATTATTAGCTAGCCATGTAATATCACTGCTTGCATATATCACAAATTTTTAAAACTTTTACTGATTGTTTTTCTTCCACAATTTTGAAAACAAACTGAATGTAAAAGGGGGTCTGAGGAATCAAGGCCACGTGCGGTGGCTCCTGCTTGTAATCCCAGCACTCTGGGAGGCTGTGGCGGGTGGATCACCTGAGGTCAGGAGTTTGAGACCAGCCTGGCTAACACGGCAAAACCCTGTCTCTACTAAAACAATATAAAAATTAGCCAGGCATAGTGGTTGCATGCCTGTAATCTCAGCTACTTGGAGGCTGAGGCAGAAGAATCACTTGAACCCAGGAGGCGGAGGTTGCAGTGAGCCGAGATCGTGCCACTGCACTCCAGCCTGGGCGACAGAACAAGACTCTGTCTCAAAAAAAAAAATCTCTATTTTTAGTACAACCAGTAAAAGAAACAGTCACCTAGGCATGAGTAAAGCAAAGGAAGCTAGGCCAACAGACTCTCTGAGAGTATTCAAATCTCAAGTTAACACCTGACAGTATTTACTATTCAGAAGAATTTTAGATACTAATAAACTATTGTACAAAATGACAAACTAGACTATTCTGAAAATAATTATCTATCGCAGGTGACTGATTGTCTTGTTAAAGGAAGGACTTAAAACTCAAGGGAGATCGAGGTCAAAATAAGATAGTTTGTAATGAATCTAATTATGAGTGAATGTTAGCAGCTATGAAAGTTAGAAACATAGATATGTGCTGAAAAATAAAGATGTATTTCTACAAAAATGAAGGAAAAATTTCAAAGGATACAATGAAAAACTGGCTAACATTTGACTATGAGGAAACATCCCTAATTCTACCCACAAGCAAAGAGGGGTGGATACAGAAAAAAAAAAGTTGAAATTACATGTTAATTCAGAAAGTATCTTTGGTGAAGATGTGACATCAGTGGACTACCTGCAGATTCATACCAATGTTTTCATTCCAGGAATACTCACTACTTTTGTGTGCTATGTTCAAATAAGATACTATTTTGTTTTGTCATCTGTGAAATTATTTTAAAATGTAACACATTAACACCTTATCTTAATTCACAAAGAGAACACGTCATTGTGAAAAACTGAGAAAAACGATTTCAGGACTCTTCTAAACTAAAAGGAATATGCCAGAAAAAGCAGTGCATGGAAGAAAAATGAATGGTAAAATTTCATTTACTCAATAAAATTTTGCAATGAAAGGATCTAAAAATCTGTAGTTCAAACCTTTTGTTTTATAGATGAGGAGGCTAAAGCCTAAAGGTCAACTGGCTTGTCCATAATCGCAAAACTTTTAGCTTTGGTTCCAAAACTGCCTGGGTAGATTACCTCCTAAAACTTTCAACACAGTAAAATTAACCTTTCTCCCATTTCAGCTTTTTAATGCTTTCATTATTTGTTTTCCTATCATTCTTTATATTCGTAACATTATGTATTCCAATAATTTACATCATTTCACAATTTAAGATGCCTTGCACATTACTTCTATTATTTGACAATGTACAACTAGACAAAGTTTCATAATACTTCTATTAAAAATGTTTTATTTAAAAAGCGCCACCAACTTTTTTAAAGTGTCACATTAAGCTGGCATGTGGAGAAAAAAACTGTAGCCATATGCATGGGATTTTATGTAGCTATTTACTCGATTCCATGAAAAACATACTTACCATGGCAGCCCCTGCATCACACGGTACATGTGTACACGATACAGAGCACCTACTTAAAGAAACACACTCACCAACACATACTGTAAACTTTTGCAAGTATTACAAGGAGAAAAACTTGTTTTTACTGTTAAGCAGACTTCTTGCCAATTTTTTCAAAAGGTATTTTGGACTGATCTGCTGCTTTTGGTAACATTTTCAATGAAGAGGATAAATACTTAGGTTGGCTTAATTTGACCTGTGTTGACAATAGTCTTACTTTAGAAAACTATGCCCAAAGAACTCATTATCATCTTTCTCATCCAAACTCCCCTAAGTAAAATTTAGTTGGTTTCACATATTACAAAGCTAAATTTCATATACCAGGATCCTCAGGTAAACTTTCCATATCTATGACCTATGTATCTACACACAATTGCTTAAGTTATACTAAAGAACTTTACCATGATGCATAACCCCATGCCAAATAAATGAGATGCCCTTTTCTTAAGTTAAAGTGAAACTATTGTCAAGAAAAGCCAACACAATGATCAACCACAATGTAATTTAAGTTCAATTACTGTGTATTCACAAAATATTCTTGGAACAAGAAACGTAATAGGTGCAAAAGACAGCTAAAGTGGGTTTGTCATTTTTTGTCATTTTGTCTCTTTTCTTTGTATAATGGTGGCTAAGAGCACGAGGTAACAGTGGCTGCTTGCATTTTTCACACGTAACAAAAACACTTAATGACTCCCAAAGGAAATACATTTTTTAACAAGAGCTAATCCATGATTTGTATCCTAGACCCCTGCCTAAACCCTTGTTCATATGCAGCCCAAGGGTGTCAAATGTAAAAGTCTGAAGGAAAAGAATCCTTTCAGCAAATAAGTATCTTTAGAATAAAAGGAAAATGATTAACTTTTTTTCTTTTCTGAATATGAAAACAATCCCAAAATAATGAATTGTGAACAGGCAAATTTAGAATAGATATGCCAAAGGCCTCCAGAAAAGATAGGGGTCTTATCAATAACATCTTTGAAAAAATCTAAAAGGAATCAATTAAATTTTGATCAGAGTTAACACAGCCACTAAGAGATGGCTGCTGTGAAATAATTTTTTTAATTACTCACTTAAAACAGGCTATATACTTCTCTAAATGTATTTACATCACATAAGGATTAAAAAACAAAACCAAAAGTAAAAGCTCTGCAAGTGGTTCCTAACTAGTTTACAAAAGTTACCGAAAATGCACACTTACAGAGAACACATTAAAACCAATTTCATAAGAATACTGCAGAACATACTTACTATGTCTTTTTAAAATTCCATGGCAGACATCATCTGCCTCTGAAGTGGCTACTTCCTTGGTTTTGGTAAATTTTATTAATCAAGAGTTCTATTCCTTATTTGACCAAAGCAAATGCATTTTACTTTGAACGTGTTCAAACTTAAGTGAGTTGCTTTTGAAGGAAGTGCTAAAGGAATTGGAAACTAGATAAAGAAAACATACCTTTGGTTCTAAAAAGTACCCTTTGAAGTAGCGATACTGAACTGATACTCCTCTACTGAGTACAATGGTTGCTTTCCATAGCATGCTGTGAAGAAAGAAAATTAAAAGCAGCAGCATCAATATCAAACTACAGTGCATAAAGACTTCTTAATTCACAAAACTCCTCAAATAAAACGTATGACCAATATCACTTATTTATTCCTACACAAAATTTTACAGGCCTACTCTGTAGCAGGCAATGGGAACACAGGGGTATATACTGCAGAAAGAGCCTTATCTTCAAAGAGCTTCCTTTGCTGTGTGGGTAGACAGAAAAATAACCAAAGAAGATAGACAGAACGAAGTTCTGGAGGAGGCTTTTAAAAGGAAGGAAGGTTTTAATGAGGAAGCGCTGTCTGAGCTCAGGTCTAAATGATGAGAAGGAACCAGCCATATAAAGAGCCAGGATAAGTTTCCAAACAGAAAATTCAAGTTGTACAAAAGTGGAAGCCAGAGTCAGAATCTTCTGTGACTTCCCACTTAGCGAGGGATGTTACATGGCTGATAAGAGACTTTGGGTCGCAGCTTTTGTGTCACAAATGAGAGATAAACATGAGTTACACTCCTATTCTTGACTATCCGTTATTCTAAGCTGTCCTACCCAGGCTCTGGCTATTCCTCAGACAAGCAGTCAGAACCTGTATCTTGTTTCAGGCCAATGTCTTTCTCTGAACTATGTTATTCTAACAGAAACTAAAGATTTGACTCAACAGCTGCCTTAAGGTCAAGAATTCACTACAATTCATTACTGTAACTGAGTTTTAGCTTCAAATAATAAACTAGTGCTATCCACAGCATGGTCCCAGACCATCATTAGTAGCTGGGAGCTTCTTAGAAATGCAAATTCTCAGGCCCTACCCAGACTTATTGAATTAGGAACTCTGGGGGTGGGGGCCCAGTAACCTGTATTTTAACAAGCCTCCAGGTAACTTTTTTTTTTTTGAGACGGAGTCTTGCTCTGTCACCCAGAGTGAAGTGCAGTGGCGCGATCTCAGCTCACTGCAAGCTCCGCCTCCCGGGTTCATGCTATTCTCCCACCTCAGCGTCCCCAGTAGCTGGGACTACAGGCACCCGCCACCACGCCTGGCTAACTTTGTTTTTTTATTTTTAGTAGAGACGGGTTTCACCGCATTAGCCAGGATGGTTTCGATCTCCTGACCTCATGATCCAACCGCCTCGGCCTCCCAAAGTGCTGGGATTACAGGCATGAGCCACCAGGCCCGGCCGCCTCCAGGTAACTTTTATAAACACTTTGAGAACCCCTGTCATAGACCATTAACCAAACGTTAATTCAGCATGAGTAGTTTAGCCCTACCTGGCTCTGCTAAGACAGGTTTTAGGGCATTGTCCTTACTCTGATACAAGCTTAGCTCCTAAAATAAATACAGATATAGCTCATTGTATTGCACTTTATTATACTTCACAGATACTGTGTTTTTTACAAATTGAAGGTCTGTGGCAAACTTGAGTCGAGCAAGTCTATCAGTGCCATTTTCCCAACAACATGTGCTTACTTCGTGTCTATGTCACAGTTTGGCAAATCTCATAATGTTTCAAACTTTTTTGTTATTATTATATCTGTTATGGTGATTGCATGCTACAGAAAAATCTTTCATGAAAGGAACAGTTAATCAATGTAGTAAACTTCACTGTCTTATTTTAAGAAATTGACACTGTCCTTCAACCTTCAGCAACCACGACTCTGATCAGTTAGCAGCCATCAACATTGAGACAAAACTCTCCACCAGCAAAAAGATTGCAATTCACTAAAGGCTCAAATGATTGTATCATTTTTTAGCAATAAAGTATTTTTTAATTAAGGTATGTACATTTTTAAAAATCACTGCTTTAAACAAACCAACATGGAACATGTATATATATGTAACAAACCTGCACGTTCTGCACATGTACCCTAGAACTTAAAGTATAATAATAAAAAATAAATAAATAATAAATAAGTAAAAATCACTGCTTTAAAGCAAGAATAGCAAATGCTGCCAGGCGTGGTGGCTCACGCCTGTAATCCCAACTCTTTGGGAGGCTGAGGTGGGCGGATCATGAGGTCAGGAGTTCAAGACCAGCCTGACCAACATTATGAAACCACATTTCTACAAAAAATATAAAAATTAGCCAGGCGAGATGGCACAAGCCTGTAATCCCAGCTACTCAGGAGGCTGAGGCAGGCGAATCACTTGAACCTGGGAGGCTGAGGTTGCAGTGAGCCCAGATCGCGCCACTGTACTCCAGCCTGGGTGACAGAGTGAGATTCCATCTCAAAACAAAAACAAAAACAAAAACAAAAAAAGAATAGCAAATGCTTGACACATGTTCCCTATTTTTCCCCAATAAGCCTCAGAATCCTTTTCAACAGAGGTTTCCAGGTGGACTCTTCCAATTAAGAATAGAAAGTTGCCATTTCTGCTACCCCAAAAAGAAAAAAAGGGGGGGGGACAAATTCCCAGTACTACCTCATCTCCAAAACAGCCAGTTGGAGCATGTGAAACTAGCCCCACTAGTGCAGAGTAGAATTACTAATAAGCTGTGAAAAACGTGCTGCCGCCTCTCCCTCAGCCATTATTTCTCAATCTCCAGGAGCAGGATCTAGGTATGTGTATTTTTTTTCAAGTCCTCCCAAGTGATTCTAATGCGATCCCTGGTAAAGAACCACTAAATGAAAACAAGAGATGAAGAAGGCAAAGCAGTGAGTCTTTTTACTCCACTTGTCTAAGCAAATGTGGCAAATTTAAGAATGAACCAGAACCCAGGCATAGTGGCTTATACCCAGCACGCTGGGAGGCTGAGGCGGGAGGGCAGCTTGAGCCAGGAGTTCACAAACAGCCTAGGTCTCAACACAGTGAAACCTCATCTCTATAAAAAAATTTTAATGAGCTGGGCATGATGGTGTACACCTAGCTACTCGAGAGGCTGAGGCAGGAAGATCACCGGAGCCCAGGAGTTTGAGGTTAGAGTGAACCGAAATCGTGTCATCGCACTCCAGCCTGTGTGACAGAATGAGACCCTGTCTAAAAAATTTTAAAAAAAGAATCAGAACTATTTGGTGAACTAAAGACAAAATAATCTGATGAAATTAAATCAAAACCAGGAAAGACGGGTAGTCATATGGTGGTTTAGTGCAGCTGCCTAATTCTGAATTGCCCTTATATCCTTTCCCAAAATACCATAAAATCTACAAGGAGGGCAAATGAAACCACAAGTGACCCACATCTTCAGCAGTATTAGGAAACAATACCATGACCTTCAAGTTTTCTCTAAGCAGAAAAAAATTCCAGGAGAGCTCTAGCTGCCATGAGCCTGTGGGTAGGGAGAGCTGGTAAGAGAAAGCTTAAGACGCTCCCTGAAAGACAGGGGCACAGCAGACTTAGATGCAGAGCACATTAAAATTCCAAAGAAACACAATTTTAAAACTCACGAATATTGTCTAAAGGCACATGGATTCCTGTGTATCTACTCCCTTCTCCCTGTGAAACACTGTTTATCTGCTACCTGTGAATCAATTCTATTTCATTGTACATGCACAACATATGAACAACTGGTCCTCTTAAAATTGTTAAGTGTCTTATCCTGTTCACATCTTTTTGACCAAGTTGGCTGAAACTGACTTAGGACAGGCAGGGGTGTGTTTTAGAGACAAGTTCAGAAAGATATGAGGTTTCACTTCAGACCAGAGTGGCTGATCTGAAAATCGAAGAAAAAATAGCCACTTGAAGGAAATACTAGTCTGTGAAAGACTAGTAAAGAATATATACTATTAAAGTAATACTATTTACCAACAGAACTCTTATAAGGAGAGCTGAGAATTGGCTGAGAAAATATGTCATACTAGTGACAAACTAGAAAAAAGGGAGTTCTGTGTTTTTTAATTTTCTTTCTCCTAGCTTACATTACTGTTATTTTTTTACTTTCCTTTGTTATTTTCCGTTGCTTTACCACCAGTGCTCCTCAAACTATTTGCTGTGAATGACCAGCATTTTTTGTTTGCTTTACTCAACCTGTCTGGTGACCAATATTCTGATCTACATACCCAGTTCAATGAGATGTGTCCACAGTGACATGCATGGAGTCAAACTGCTATACACATTTCTAAATGCTTGCTCTCAGTTTTTGTATTTCTCACATCATGGATTGATTTTTTTAAAAGTCTTTTGGACTGGTACTGGTGCACAGGCCACATTTTAAGACATGCTGCTCTACAGGAAAATAGAGCCTTAGCAATCACCTAATCGGGCACTGGATATACTTGTATGCTATTTAGGAAAACCTATAACACTTCCAACTATCCACAGTGGGGTAAGTGCCACCTCTGCTGACATCCACTCATCTATGCTAACCCCTTTTTATCATGCAGATGAGGTAACTGAGGCCTACAGACATCAGCCGCCCAAGTTCACACTTAACTGCAGAAGAGTGGCTGACACCCAGATTTACCTTTCTCCATCCACTGTGCCCATACTAAGTTTACTGATGGATTCAATGCCACTAGTGAATACATTTCTTCATATTAGCTAAGCTATCTAAGTATGTGTTCCACTCTCTGCTCCTTTTAACACCACATACTTCAAGGAAATACTTTTATAGGCAAATACAAAAATTAGATCTCTTATCAAGAATATGTACTTACCATTAAAAAAAGAAATCAGAAAAAATTAAAAAGAAGAAAATAATATATAGTGACCAGACAAATGTTAATGCCTTAAAATGTTTCTTCAAATAAGAAAGCAAGGTGGGAGGATCTCAAGTCCAGGAATTTGAGATCAGCCTGGGCAACATAACCAGACACCACCTTTGTGCCAAAAAAAACCCCAAAAAACAAACAAACAAAAAAGTAATGCCATCTCCACACCAAAAACAAAAAACAAAAAAACAACCACAATTAACAAGGCATGGTCATGGGTGCCTATAGTCACAGCTACTCAGGAGGCTGAGGCGCAAGGATCGCTTCAGCCCAGGAGTTCAAGGCTGCATTGAGCTAGGATCACACCACTGTACTCCAGCCTGGGTAACAGAGTGAGACCCTGTCTAACTAATTATGGTGGTAAGTACCTAAAGAACCAGTCAAGAATTAAAAGTATATTCAATTATCCTGAGTTGTAAAAATAAAAAATACATCTAAAAAAAAAAAAAGAAATGAAAGTGGTTGAGAGGCAGGGATTAACAGTAAGAGAGGAACCTGTTTTTCCCACACAAATTTTGTAAAATTATTTCACTCATAAAACTATGCAACGTGATAATGTTGATAAAAATTATAACTAAAAGAAAAAATACCAAGATATCTTAAAAGCCCCTAACATCATAAGGTTAATGTCACAGTTATTCTGTAACCTCACATTTCCATACTCACCTTTCACCTGTGTCATTCTCTGGAAGAAGAGCCACAGCATTTTGAGGATTCCAGTTTCCCAAAGCATCACAGCTTCCACATATCGCAAAAACTTCTCCTAAAGAAACAGAACAATCAGTCACAGAGAAACAGAACAATCAGTCACAGTGGGATAAGCAGGGAAGTTTGCATTAGTTCAACCAGATATGCTGCCCCCTTTAGCAGAGATGAAAGAGCCTCACTAGATATAGGTTTGGGCCCAGGTACCTACCACTCACTAACACCTGCCAATTAACTCGACTCACCTTTCTAGAACCAAAGCCAGAGAAAAGGGGGAAGGCATACGGATGAAGTTTTCTTCATCTGTTCAACTACTCATTGAGCCAGTAACAAGAACCCAAGAGTACAAAAGGGATAAAACCACAGTCTCTGCTTTCAAGACAGCTTCCAATTTTAACAGACAAACACTAAATGCCTATCAGTACTCTAAAGGGTTATTAATCAATATTTTCTAGAAAGTCAAACAGTAGCTACTAATAAGTTTCACATCAAGAACATTATTAAGGCCAGGCGTGGTGGCTCACACCTGTAATCCCAGCACTCTGGGAAGCTGAGGTGGGCGTGTGGGGGCAGATGCCTGTAATCCCAGCTACTCAGGAGGCTGAGGCAGGAGAATTCACTTGAACCCAGGAGGCAGAGGTTGCAGTGAGCCGAAATCACACCACTATACTCCAGCCTGGGCAACAGGGCAAGACTCCATCTCAAAAACAACAGAAACAAAACTGTCAATGAGAGAGCAGAAATGTAATTAAAAACCCATCAAAACAAAGACTTATATAGTTGGAAAATCTAGTACTTCTTGGTTTTTGGAGATGGAGTTTTTCTCTGTTGCCTGGGCTGGAGTGCAGTGTCATGATCTGGGCTCACTGCAACCTCCACCTCCCAGGTTCAAGCAATTCTCCTGCCTCAGCCTCCCTAGTAGCTGGGATTACAAGTGCGCACCATCACAACCGGCTAATTTTTGTATTTTTAATAAAGATGGGGTAACCATATTGGCTAGGTTGGTCTTGAACTCCTGACCTCAGGTGATCTGCCCGCCTTGGCCTCCCAAAGTGCTGGGTTTACAGGCATGAGCCGCCGCGCCCAGCCAAAATCTAGTACTTCTTAACTAAGGTAATGTATCATTTCTTTTGAACACTTATCAATAGACTTTAAAAGCCAACATAAAGCTACCACCTCTTCTTGCTAAATTTTATATATTTAGCAGAACACACTTGGATAAAAGTACGTAGAAGTCTCTGACTTAAATATCAACACATTCTGAATACAATTAAAATTCATAAAGAAAAAGATAATGAACTGAGTCCAACTGCCAATTTGGCTCAAGACAGACTCCTCCACATTCTGAGAACAGCTGGGATTCCAAGCTTGAGGCACTGCTCTAGTAAGACTAGAATTGTACTCAGCTTTAGCCACCTGCATGAGCATTTTATTAGCTTGGACTATCTAAAAATTAACTAAAATTCCAAGTGTGACAGTCATTCAGATTTCAGGGCTCTAAATACATGTGGGCCGGGCGCAGTGGCCCATGCCTGTAATCCCAGCACTTTGGGAGGCCAAGGCAGGGAGATCACTTGAGGCCAGGAGTTTGAGAACAGCTTGGCCAACTAGCAAAACCCTGTCTCTACTAAAAATACAAAAAGGCCAGGTGAGATTGGCTCATGCCTGTAATCCCAGCACTCTGGGGGACTGAAGTGGGTGGATCACTTGAGGTCAGGAGTTCAAGACCAGCCTGGACAACATGGTGAAACCTCATCTCTACTGAAAATAAAAAATTAGCTGGGTGCAAGCCGGGTGCGGTGGCTCATGCCTATAATCCCAGCACTTTGGGAGGCCAAGGCAGGCAGATCACTAGGTCAGGAGTTCAAGACCAGCCTGGCCAACATAGTGAAACCCCATCTCTACTAAAAATACAAAAATTAGCTGGGTGTGGTAGCAGGCACCTGTAATCCCAGTTACTCAGGAGGCTGAGGCAGGAGAATCAATTGAACCCAGGAGGCTGAGGCTGCAGTGAGCCAAGATCACACCAGTGCACTCCAGCCTGGGCGACAGAGCGAGACTCTTAAAAAAAAAAAAATTAGCCGGGTATGGTGGCAAGCACCTGTAATCGCAACTACTCAGGAGGATGAAGCAGGAGAATCGCTTGAACCTGGCAGGTGGAGGGTGCAGTGAGCCAAGATCATGCCACTGCACTTCAGCTTGGGTGACAGGGCAAGACTCTGTCTCGAAAAAAATTTTTTTTAAATAAAATAGATAAAAACACAAAGTTAGCTGGGCATGGCAGCACACACCTGTAATTCCAGCTACTCGGGAGGCTGAGGAATGAGAATCACTTAAACCTGGGGGGAGGTAGAGGTTGCAGTGAGCCAAGATTGCATCACTGCGCTCCAGCCTGGGCAATATAGTGAGACCCTGTCTGTACAAAAAAAAATTTTAAGTAAGAATAATTTTAAAATTAGCCAGGCACTGTGTTGTGCACCTATAGTCCCAGTTCCTCATGAGGTTGAGTCAGGAGGATCACCAGAGTCCAGGAGTTTGAGGAGCTATGACTGCACCACTGCACTTCAACCTGGGCAATAGAGGGAGACCCTGTTAATCTTTTTTTTTTTTTTTTTTTTTTTTTGAGATGGAGTCTTGCTCCATCGCCCAGGCTGGAGTACAGTGGCGCAATCTCAGCTCACTGCAACTTCTACCTCCAGGGTTCAAGCAATTCTCCTGTCTCAGCCTCCCGAGTAGCTGGGACTACAGGCACGCACCATCATGCCCGGCTAATTTTTGTATTTTTAGTAGAGACGGAGTTTCACCTTGTTGGTCCAGTTGGTCTCAAACTCCTGACCTCAGATGATCCACCCACCTCGGCCTCCTAAAGTGCTGGGATTACAGGCATGAGCCACCATGCCCAGCCAACCCTGTCTCTTAACAACAAAAAAAACTTCTTCATGGACTCGTTATTTCTCATCCCCCACATAAAACAGCAGGCTACTTTTTGCTATGAAAAGAACAAACTCCAATTGGAAAAAGTAAAATGGGGACTCAGTGGTTCACTTGCCTCTTATAGGTGCTCCTGCATTTTACCAATTCCCCCTGCAATGTTACTTTCTCTTTCTGCTGATTCCAGGGGAATATGGCTGCTGAAAATGAGGAAATTTTTCACTAAAACAAACAGACCTTTCTTTAATTGGCTCTCAGTTATAAAAGATTATGAAGACTTGAATGCTTACTAAAGAAATCTGCAAACAGCACCTCCACATACTCTATTTGTATCCTCTCCTGGTTGTACTTGTTTCCCCCAAGGTCAGTCCTCTCTGCACTACCATTCTCGCCACATTTAGCAGAGGGTCCTTCCTCCTGTGCAGTGAGGAAATCAAGGTGATGGGGGAATTGAGGTGGGGTCTCCCCCAGTATCCCCTTGCTGTCCCTCAGCCTCCTCCTTGGCACGTACAGAGTCATCTATATCCACATCCACCATTATCTCCTTCCCTCTAATCCCTGACCCCAATCAAGCTGACACTTCTGTGGCCAGTTCTGCGGTCAGTCCATTTGCCCGACATGGCCAGCTCCTTCTAGCTTCAACTGCCTGCCTACAACTCCCCAGAAAGAGAAAATTCCGTCTTCTCTCCACGGAAGTGGCCACACACTAAACCAGAGGTGAGCACTTGGCTCAAGGGAGCCAACCCATCAGCTGACTAGCAATCTTCAATCTGCTCAATTCTGCCCAGGGGTAGAACTATACCAGATCATCTTGGCTAAGAATTTGAACTTAGACTCACACATACTCTGCCAATTGCTGTGATGAATGCTAGAATAAAGAAGCTAGATGTAGTGTGAGTCATTCACTCATTCTTTGAATACAGATATACTATGCCCCTGCTCTGATCCAGGCTCTCTGCTAGGCGCAGGAATTCAGCATAAACAAGACAAGGTCATATTTTGACCAGGCACGGTCTGTAATCTCACACCTGTAATCTCAGCACTTTGCGGGGCCAAGGTAGGCAGATGACCTTAGGTCAGGAGTTTGAGACTGGCCTGGCCAACATGGCAAAACCCCATCTCTACAAAAAATACAAAAATTAGCCAGGTGTGGTGTCAGGCATCTGTAATCCCAGCTACTCAGGAGCCCAAAACAGAAGAATCGCTTGAATTCGAGGAGCAGAGGTTGCAGTGAGCCGAGATCGCGTCATTGCACTCCAGCCTAGGCAACAGAGTGAGACTCCATCTCAATTAAAAAAAAAAAAAAAAAAAAGAGGGGGCTGGGCACGGTGGCTCCTACCTGTAATCCAGCACTTTGGGAGGCCGAGAGGCAGGTGGATCACGAGGTCAGAAGTTTGAGACCAGACTGGACAAGATAGTGAAACCCTGTCTCTACTAAAAATACAAAAATTAGCCAGGCACGGTGATGGACACCTGTAATCCCAGCTACTTGGGAGGCTGAGGCAGGAGAATTGCTTAAACCCGGGAGGCGGAGGTTGCAGTGAGCTGGGATCGCATCACTGCACTCTAGCCTGGGCGACAGAGCAACACTCCATCTCAAAAAAAAAGTAATGTTTTCAACAGAGTTTACAATCTGTCACTCAAATAATTCTATAAAATCTCCAAGAGGTGCTATAAAATAGGGCCAGAACCTAGTGGAATCTGGAGGCTGGCAGTGGGGACAGGGGAGAGAAGAGAAGGAACAGGGGGAGTATGAGAGTGGGCAAAGATCTAGGCAGAGGAAACAGCATTTGAGAACGTCCTAAAAGAGGAAGAAAGGAGGAAGGAATGGAGCACATTTAAGGAACTGAAAGGCCAGTATAGCCAGAGTACATAAAACCGAGAGGTACCTCAGTTTTATGAGAGCCCAGGTGTGATACGGCTTTGACATGCTATCTCACACTAAAATTATCTCACAGCACTTTAAGGGACAGCAAAAAATACAATGAGGCTAAAAACATATTCACACATAGGAACAAGGTTATCCCAGCCAATTGTTTCACCAACTTATTCTTTTTTTTTTTTTTTTTTGAGACGGATTCTGGCTCTGTCACCCAGGGTGGAGTGCAATGGCACGATCTCAGGTCACTGCAACCTCTGCCTCCTGGGTTCAAGCAATTCTCCTGCCTCAGCCTCCCAAGTAGCTGGGATTACAGGCACATGCCACCATATCCGGCTAATTTTTGTATTTTTAGTAGAGATGGGGTTTCACCATGTTGGCCAGGCTGGTCTTGAACTCCTGACCTCAAGTGATCTACCCGCCTCAGCCTCCCAAAGTGCTGGGATTACAGGCATAAGCCACTGCGCCCGGCCTACCAACTTCTTGCACTAGCAAAGTTTCCTTCATTTTCATACTGCCTAGAAACCACAGCCCAACCATCTCTGCCCTGTGCAAAATTAGGTATAAATTCATAGCTTTCTTGGGAAAACATGAGAACAAGACAGAGTTTGAGGAGGTTTTTGGTGTGTTTACTATGCTCCAAGCACATTTCTGCTGTCAGGCAAGACCTATAGATATTTTCATCTAAAAAATCAGGCCCACTCTAATAGCAACTCCATATTTAAGGTAATCCAGATAAGAAACATGCTAATTTAATTTTAATTGTTTTAAAGTAAAACTTTTACAATACCTGGTAAAAGAGTTCCTCTTATTTCAAAGGCAACCTGAGAAGGTGTCATTCTGATGGATTTATTTTATGATGTCGTGCTAGGAAAAAAAAGAAAAGTAACTTATAGTATAAAAATATATGCCTTAGCTAGCCACCATCAAGAAACAACTTCAACCAAGAGCTATTTATATTTTTAAAAGCAATATTTAATGTCTTTGCAGTTTTATGGTGGGATTGTTTTTGTTTTTGTTTTAAAGTAACTTTAGTGCGGGGGGGGGGGGGCGGGAAAGAAACAAGTGAAAAAGCAAAAAAATAAACCAGGCACAGTGCCTCATGCCTGTAATACAAACACTTAAGGAGGCTGAGGCAGGAGGATGACTTGAGCCCAGGAGTTTGAGACCAATTTGGGCAATATAGTGAGGCCTCATGTCTACACACACACACACACACACACACACACACACGCCAGGCATGGGGAGCATGCCTGTAGTTCCAGCTACAGATTGAGACTGAGCTGGGAGGATCACTTTAGCACAGGATGTTGAGGCTGTAGTGAGCTGTGACTGTGCCACTGTACTCTAGCCTGAGCCACAGAGCAAGACCCTGTCTCGAAAAAAACAAAACACAAAGTCTCAATAAAGTTTTTTTAAAAAAAGCAAAAAATGAAAATGAATCTCAATTATGAGCAAAAAAAAAGATTAATTTCAGAGTCCTTATATAAACAGTGACTCAATTACTTGGGAAGTATCTAGCAAGTTTGAAGCCTAGTGCTACAAAGCTATTCTTTCAGAATATATGTTCAAAAAGAAAACAAAACAAGACAGAATACATGCCCGAAATACACACTGTAAAACAAAGTATCCAAACTTGTTATTTTTTAAGTCGTCAAGATTCTTTTGCTACATACTTTCTCTTCTGATAAGCAGCTGTTCTGAATTCAAGGTATCTTTCCTGACCAGGGTAATACTGTGGTAGAGAAGAAAAACAACTATAGAGAGAAAAAAGCTTCACTTAATGAATTTCTACTTTAACACAAAGGAAACAACCAAAGTATCACCCACTAAAACAAACTACTTGTTATGTTGTGGAACAAGTTTGAGAATCTGCTTCTAAGACACAATGTAACTTATCATTAAAAGAAAAAGAAAAGAAGGAGTCCAGGCAAGTGGCTCACACCTGTAATCCCAGCACTTTGGGAGGCCGAGGAGGGCAGATCACTTGAGGTCAGGAGTTCAAGACCAGCCTGACCAACATGGAGAAACCCCGTCTCTACTAAAAATACAAAATTAGCCGGGCGTGGTGGCACATGTCTGTAATCTCAGCTACTCAGGAGGCTGAGGCAGGAGAATTGCTTGAACCTGGGAGGTGGAGGTTGAGGTGAGCCCCCCCACCTGCCTCCCCCTCCAAAAAAAAAGAAAAAACTTTCTACACAAATAACTTTTCAGATTTTCTCTTTATTAACCCTAGGACCATCATTACTCAGGTTCTACAGGCTCAAATTTACAGTCTCAACTCTACCTACAACCTATTATCAAATCCTGATGATTCTATCTAATTGACCTTATATCCATTTTGTCAATTAGGATTCTTCCTCACATCCCTGGCTTGGAATCACTTTGATTATTTATAGAAATCTGAACTCCATAGTAAAAGGAATTTAAGGAGATTAAAAAAAGAATAAGAAAGAAGTCTAAACTCCAAGCCTTTGAAGTTCTTTTCCACTTATCCACATTTTGTCTAGCTAATTTTTTCATTTCTTCCCTGTCAGTCAAAGGAATCTGTTTCCCATCCACTAACTTAAGTACCTAAAGGAATATAAAAAATAGCTTAATACACACATGTACATATAATATACTTCGAGATACTTACATAATTTAAATGGAGAAAGAACATACTCCATCCAAAGACACACCATATTCTACATCATAACTTCTCCAACACCCCTCAAAAAAACCTTTGCCCCCCCCACCAATGTTACAAGAATTCCAATCACATCTTTATTCTGCATCATGTACATTACTCTACCAGCTTAAATTTCATTTGCATTTATATATTACCTTATGAAACAATTCTAAAGTACCTTTCATAGCTACCTTACATAGTCATTTTTCTAGTTCTGCTTTGCTCCCTTCCCCTCCCCCTGAATCATTTAATGAACACTGCTACACACAATTAACCACACTTCCCAGTCAAGGTAGATAGATCTATACCAGCAGTTCTCACCAAAGGCAATTCTTCCCTCCAGGGGATTATTTGGTAATGCCAGGAGGCATTTTTGGTTGTCACAACTGGGAGTGGCACTCCTAGCATCTAGGGGTAAAGGCCCTGCTGAACACCATACAATACGCAGAACAGCCCTCCACAAATGATTAATTGTCCAGCTCCAAACATCAACAGGGCTCAGGTTGAGATGAGGGTCAAGAGTCCAGGCTCTATGTTAGCTATAAACTATGTATCATCACATTTACATCAATTATAAAATGTAACACTGAATACATACACATATATATATTTATAAATGTACACTGTCAAATATTCATCTCACAGAGTGCAAGACCACCAATGTGCAGTCATGTCACATTTGGATATGAAATTCCCTATTTGGCAACTCTACCATTTTGGTTAGAATACCCAATACTACACTAGTGCAAACCTTCCCTTTGGCCAGGCACAGTGGCTCATGCCTGTAATCCCAGCACTTTAGGAAGCCGAGGCGGGTGGATCACCTGAGGTCAGGAGTTCAAGACCAGTCTGGCCAACATGGTGAAACTTTGTCTCTACTAAAAATACAAAAATTGGCTGGGCATGGTGGTGGGCACCGGTAATCCCAGCTACCCAGGAGGTTGAGGCGGGAGAATCACTTGAACCTGGGAGGCAGAAGTTGCAGTGAGCAAAGATAGTGCCACTGCACTCCAACCTGGGCAACACAGCGAGACTCTATCTCAAAAGAAAAGAAAGAAAGAAAAAAGGCCGGGCATGGTGGCTCATGCCTGTAATCCCAGCACTTTGGGAGGCTCAGGAGGGCAGATCATGAGGTCAGGAATTCAAGACCAGCCTGGCCAACATCTCTACTAAAACTACAAAAATTAGCTGGGCATGATGGCACGTGCCTGTAGTCCCAGCTACTCGGGAAGCTGAGGCAGGAGAATCACTTGAACCCAGGAGGTGGAGGTTGTGGTAAGCCGAGATCATGCCACTGCACTCCAGCCTGGGCAACAGAGGGAGACTCCATCTCAAAAAAGAAAAAGAAAAAAAAAAGGCTTCCCTTCATCAAAATAATTTCTAAAATAAATAATTTCTTATTCTACTTTCTGCATCTAAGAGTAAACATGGCGGCCAGGTGTGGTGGCTCACGCCTATAATCCGAGCACTTTGGGAGGCATGAGAATCACTTGAACCCAGAAGGTGGAGGTTGCAGTGAGCTGAGATTGTGCCACCACACTCCTGCCTGTGTGACAGAATGAGACTCTGTCTCAAATAAAAAAAAAAAAAAAAAGCCTGACATTTAAATTACTGAATTAATTTTAAGAGAGCAAATACTCTATCACCCATCAAAAGAGCTGAATGACCACTTCAGTCTTAACCTTAACCAAATAAGGTGCCCTTTCATTTGGTGTTTACTGCTGCGGTTCTCAACTAAAGACAACCTCATATACATGATTAAATAGTTTGTATTTTGCTATTTGTTGACTAACTTTAAATAACTATTTTAATCAACTTAAGGGAAATCAGATATTATTCCTATGTACTAAAATCAACAGCTAGTACAAAATTATCTCTAGATTTCTACTGCATGAAAGCAAATGGAAAACTTAAGTAAATATAATAAAAGGGAAATGAACTGATTATAGAAATTGAGTCTTTTATTCTCAAAGATGTTTGGAAGAGTGACTACAGTAACTTAGCGGTAAACAGCTGCAGTAAATGTACTATACAAAGCTATATACACAAGCACAAAAACACCTCCCAGAAAACCTCTCCAAAAGTCAACAAAGCATCATCTTCCACTTGATTTACCAAAGTCAAGCAATCTGGTTTGATTTCCACCCTGAGCGCCCCCCTCCCCAAATTTGATACCATACCAAATAAAAGCCTCAGGAGCTGTTCCAAATGCAATTCACTTGATTATGGACAGAGGCCAAAAGTCTGGTGCAGTGTTGTAGTATACAATTTTGGCATCCAGTTACCACCAAAACAGCAGTGACCAAGTAAAAAAATGACTGTGTTGTGAAACAAAAAATGTATGCACCCACCCATACACCTTCTTCTAAACAAGGAAGAAAAAAAAAAATCACAACTTGGAAAGGGAAGGTCAGTTCTGGATATACATAAAAACAAGAGTAAGATGAAAAATGTTAGTCATTGTATGCACATGAGCTGACCAGATAATTTAACCAACTCGCCTATTACCTCACATACAGACTACACTTCCTGAAACAGGCTTTTGCTTTTTGGTTTTTGAAAACGTAACATCTATTCTGTACTTTTTGAAGAGAAACACTAAATGGCATTCTCATCTGAGATTCTGGGTAGTATTTAAATAACCCTTTTTAAAAGACTCAAGCAATCAGCAAAATACAACATGGTAATTAATCCACATTTTAAAAAATTTCAGAGTTCACACTACCTGCCAAAATAAATTTTACTCTATTCTTTTCCTCAAATAAACTTTCCCGACACGTGACACTACTGATTTACCAGGCTGGGAAACCAAAGGGATATGAAGTAAACCAAGGTAAAGGGACATTCACTTTAGAGCTAAATTGAAGTCAGATATTTTTAGCTAAAGTGTTTTTTTGGCTACAAGGAACATGTCAGTCTTCCTTCGAATTTTTTCAAGGAAAAAAGCTGTTTCCAATTCTTCTTGCCCTTTCCCAGGCCTTGGCAGCTTTGATCCTCCTAACTAGCTAAATAAAGTAATATATAAAATGCCTAACTTTCCCTGAGTTAATTTTTGCTCATCTTGGTGAAGGATCATTACGACCCTTGCTACATTTCTGACAAGTTGTGACTGTCATTCTGATTCCCATATACTTGAAGCCAATATCTTAATCAAATATGTTAAGACGTTAATGGATCTTTATTTAAAAAGTGTTTCTGGAATAAGTTTCTTTACGCCAAGTTAATTCCTTGATCAACTTTCTAAACAATGCAGTAACATTTTCCCAAATGTTTTCCATTCATTTTACCGTGATATTATTCTCTTGTGTATGTTTCATACCTTTTTTCCTGTTTTAACTCATACGTAAAGATTCGATTCATCAACGTACTTTATGTACGTATCAAATTTTACTCACTTTGCTACGATGAGTTTTCTTTTGTGGTCATTATTTCTCAAGAGTCCAGCTTTCCCACGTCGTTATTTTGCAGATTTAAATTTTGTCTAGAATACTGGTTTTCTCTAGCTCTTGGTTCTTCCTAGTTCTTAAATCAGGAATGGATTGCACCATGTGCAGTTTTGCTTGTTTGCTTGGTGTTATTTGTATCCACGACATTAGGAATTTTGAAAAAAAAAAAAAAAGACTGATACCTTGTATTTATTTCTTAGTTAAGTCACAGCTCGTCAGCAACGTAGCAAGGGGAAGCATGACGGGGTAGAGTAGTGGGTGAGAACTGTGCAGAAATGGGAGGAGGCGACAGAAGAGTATGAAGAAAAAACATCGGGTCCAAACATCCTGCTCAGTTCCATCAGTTCCTCTATGCAGGTCTACATCAGACTAACAGCTGCCTTAAGGTGGAAGAATCCTCTACAATTCATGCCCGATTTCTTTTCCAGCCAGCCAGTGGAGTCTGGGGAGAGGGCTGATGAGGACACCTAAGTGATTGAGGCTCTCTCTCCTACCTCAGCAAGGCAGTCTGAAGAGCTTTGGGAAAAGTAGAGCTTTGGAGAGAAGGGGCAGCAGACCTAAAAAATTGTATCGAGGGCACTCATGACTATTCCTGGAACCTTTTCCTAGGAAAGGCACTTTAGTTTCTTGGAATAACTGAATTATACAAGCATGCCCTAGACTACGTGTCCGGGCAATTTCAGAAAATAAGCAGTTGTCAAAACACGGTGAGTAACTTAGGGACAGAGAGCGGCGGTGAGCCGGGGGCCGCTGTGGGGCAGGGGATGTCCCCAGAGGACCTCATCTGCATTTTTGGTGTCTTTGTTCCCCGACTCAGTACTCTGCATATTTGCGGTAGTCCTATGCTCCACGCACCCTGCTACTCCTCAAATGCTCCACGTATTTTTTAGAAGGGAACTAAGCCCCAGGCAGCCCAGCAGAAGCGCGGCAGTGAACAATAAAAGTCGAAGAGTGCGTCCCAGCCACCGATTTAGCGCAGCGAACGCCCGGCCGCCGTTCCCCTGCGGGCAGTGGCCGGCCCGGCCCGGCCCGAGGACCCCGCCCGCGCCTCGGCCCCGACGCCCCAGGCCCGCCGCGTCCCGGGCCGCCCTGACAGCTCAGCCCGCCACGTGAGTGGCCGCCCGGCCCCCGCACCCGGCTCGCTGCCTCACCTCCGGGTTCGCTAGTCCGCAGGTCCGCGTCGCCGCCGCCCCGCCCGAGAGCGAGGACCGCGGGCAGAGGTACCGGGCGCCCGCCGTCCGTGCCTCGCCAGCGCTCCCCCCAGGCGGCCTGCCGCGGCGTCGAGCGGCAGGAAGCAGCCACGCTCAAACCGGTTTCAGCTGCTCCAGACCAAACTGCCAGGCCACCCCGCGGGGCGGGGCCGGAGGGCGGTGGGGCGGGCCCTGACGTCACGCCCGGCGCCGTCCCAGCCAATCGGCAGCCGCGTGCGGGGGGTGCGGGCCCGCGCGTTCCTGGAAAGGGCTGACGTACGCGGCCGAGGGCGGCCGGGCATCCCCCGTGTCCCCGCTGCCCTTCTCAGCCGACCCCGGCGCCCGCACGTTGGAGAGCTGCCCTGGGGTCATAGGCTTGTACTGTGGTCCACCAAAGCCGCCTTAGAAATAACCCACGTGGGCCGGGCGCGGTGGCTCACGCCTGTAATCCCAGCACTTTGGGAGGCCGAGGCGGGCGGATCACCTAAGATCAGAGTTCGAGACCAGCCTGGCCAACATGGTGAAACCCTGTGTCTACTAAAAATACAAAATTAGCCGGGTGTGGTGGTGCACGCCTGTAATCCCAGCTATTCGGGAGGCTGAGACAAGGAGAATCGCTTGAACCCGGGAGGCGGAGGTTGCAGTGAGCTGAGATCGCACCATTGCACTCCAACCTGGACGAGAGCAAAACTCCGTCTCAAAAAAAAAAAAAAACCGACTATGGATCCTGGAGCTACAATTCAGAGTTGTATTTTTTTTCCCCATTTGAAAACGGGGGAAATTACCAGTACTGATGTTTTCTAGAAACTTTCTTTCGTTGCAAAACAGCAATCACACTTGGATCAAATCATTAGTTGAAAACTATTAAGTCACCTAAGCTGGATGAGAGTTTATACCCTTGCTACGCAAAGTATGGTCGACAAGCCAGTAGCACCTGCCAGAACTCAGAATTGCACACTCCCAGGACCATCCCAGACCTACCCTATCAAATCTGCCTCTAGCAACATCCCCACGTTAACAAGTATGCAAATTAAAGTTTGAAGGAACTTTTTTGAAAGCTGACTCTCCCTGCCAGAGTTGTAGTTTATTTTCTAAAAAATGAACCGTATCAAAAAAAAAAATTTTTTTTTCCTCTCCTTTGGTGGTCTCCAGAAAGTTAATCAGCATTTGCCACTTGAAGTTCTCTTACGAAACTTTGCAACTTGCGGGGCGTGGTGGCTCACGCCTGTAATCCCAACACTTTGGGAGGCCGAGGCGGGCGGATCACGAGGTCAAGAGATGAAGACCATCCTGGCCAACATGGTGAAACCCCGTCTCTACTAAAAATACAACAATTAGCCAGGCATGGTGGCGCACGCCTGTAGTCCCAGCTACTTGGGAGGGTGATGCAAGAGAATTGCTTGAACCTGGGAGGTGGAGGTTACAGTGAGCTGAGATCGCACCACTGCACTCCAGCATGGCAACAGAGAGAGACTCTGTCTCAAAAAACAAAACAAAACAAAACAAAAACTTTGCAACTCATCTAACTTACACTGTTACCTTACCAGTATCAAAGTTACCCTCTGGTTAGTGTCCAATATAAAATTATATCAGCAGCTTTTACTTAAATCAAGTGAGATATTGAAAAGTAAAAAGAGGCCTGGTGCGGTGGCTCATGCCAGTAATCCCAGTACTTTGGGACCCCGAGGCGGGCAGATCATCTGAGGTCAGGAGTTTGAGACCAGCCTGGGCATCATGGCGAAACCCCGTTTCTACTAAAAATACAAAAATTAGCCGGGTGTGGTCGAGCGCCTGTAATTCCAGCTACTCGGGAGGCGGAGGAACTAGAATAACTTAAGCCTGGGAGGTGGAGGTTGCTGTGAGCCAAGACTGCACCACTGCTCTCCTACTTGGGTGACAGCTAGACTCTCGCAAAAACAACAACAAAACAAAACAAAAAACCGACTAAAAAGAACCACCTTTCAGGAGATGTCGAAGTTCTCTTACAACAAGACATAGAGAAATAGCTCGAGTTGCACGCTAGTTCAAAATGGGCCTACTGAAAATGTGTTTGGATTAGATGAGCTCTAGCTTTAGGCAGAATTTCTGGTTTTATAAATCGGATTGTCCTCTACCACATTTGATATTTAGCTTGGATTCAATCCCAGAAAATTTCTGACAATGTCATCCATTCAGTTAAATAATTAAGTGCCTGCTTTATGCTAGGCTCAGGATGCAATAGTTTTTTGATAGTACTCATTTTAATCCCAGATTTCTTAAAGAATTAAAATTCCTTCTGGTTATGTGCCATTACCCATTAAACTCTGCTGTCTTACATTTGCTACGTAGTTTGGAGTGAATTTCCTCTGTTAGTCATACTTCAGTGACGAATTTTTTCATAAGAGTTTGCTTCCTTAAAATGTTTATAGATCTTTATTTTTCTTTTTTTTGAAATGGAGTTTTTGTTGTTGTTTTTGAGACAGAGTTTAGCTCTTGTTGCCCAGGCTGGATTGCAATGGCGTTATCTCGGCTCACCGCAACCTCCACCTCCCAGGTTCAAGCGACTCTCCTGCCTCAGCCTCCTGAGTAGCTGGGATTACAGGCACCTGCCACCATGCCTGGCTAATTTTTTATTTTTAGTAGAGATGGGGTTTCAGCATGTTGGCCAGGCTGGTCTCGAACTCCTGACCTCAGATGATCCACCCACCTCGGCTTCCCAAAGTGCTGGGACTACAGGCGTGAGCCACCACACCCAGCCAGATATTTATTTTTCTATAACCACCATTTAGTCAAGATATTTGCCTAGTGTTTATAGTTCCAGTTAATAGACCTAATCCATGCTCCTTCCCTAAATCCTTTTGAAATGACAGAAGAATTATACATATTCAAAGGATGCCATCAATGGCCAGAGACTGAGAAATGTCTATAATAGGGGTTCTTTTGGCTCCCCTGGGTCACATTGGAAGAAGAAGAATTGTCTTGAGCCACACGTAAAATCCACTAACACTAAAGATAGCTGATGACCTTTTTAAAAATCGCAAAAATTTTATAAAGTTTTAAGAAAGTTTACGAATTTGTGTTGGGCTGCATTCAAAGCCGTCCTGGGCCACATGTAGCCCCCGGGCCATGGGTTGGACGAGCTTGCTCTAAAAGATATGGAACAAGCCAGTAACATTAGAAGACCGGCAGAGAGGCTGGGTGCGGTGGCTCACTCCTGTAATCCCAACACTTTGGGAGGTGAAGGAGGGCGGATCACGAGGTCAGGAGATTGAGACCATCCTGGCTAGCATGGTGAAATCCTGTCTCTACTGAAAACACAAAACATTAACCGGGCATGGTGGCACACGCCTGTAGTCCTAGCTACTCAGGAGGCTGAGTCAGGAGAATCGCTTGAACCCAGAAGACAGAGGTTGCAGTGAGCCGAGATCGTGCCACTGCCGTCCAGCCTGGGTGACAAAGCCAGACTCCATCTCAAAATGAATAAATAAGAAGACTGGCAGAGAAACTATACTCATCCAAGAGAAGAAGGAATTCCTACAGATGCCATTTTACACAGCCTTGCTTAGAAACTCTTTGATAATGCAATGTATTTTAGATTACTCCATAATCGCACTGTTCTGATTGGGATACTGAAGTAGAATATAGATAATTAGAATATAGGTAATGCATTCCCACATTCCTTTCTCCCAACACTCTGTGAAATGTTAACTTTTCTTTTTTCTTTTTTTTTTTTTTTGAGGCGGGGTCTTGCTCTGTCACCGAGGCTGGAGTGCATGATCACAGCTCACTGCAACCCTGACCTCCTGAGCTCAAAGGCTCCTCCCACCTCCACCTCCCTGGTAGCTAGGATCACAGGTGTGTGCCACCATGCCATTATGCCTGACTAATTGTTTCTTATTTTTTGTATAGATGGGGTTTCATCATGTTGCCCAGGCTGAATTTGAACTCTTAGGCTCAAGAGACCCTCCCACCTCAGCCTCCCAATGTGTTGGGGTTACAGGCATGAGCCATGGCTCCCAGCCATAACTTTTCAAACATATGGTTAATGAGATCAATTTAGGTCTTAACTGATTACTTCCAGAAGAGCTCCATATGTTTTGAATTGTATAAAATATTTAACATTCATTATTGTACTTGATTAAATAATGAAATACGTTACCTCATTTGTCTGAAATCAGGACCACAGGATCTCACCTTATGCAATCATTTTTTGAAAAACATTAGTAGGGAGTCTGAGCCTACTCTGGCTAAGGAGGCTGCCTGATTTAAAAAAAAGAAAGAAAGAAAAATGGTAGCAGTCCAGCCTGGGCAACAAAAAAGTGATTCTAGCTCAAAAAAAAAAAAAATATATATATATATATATATATATATATCCATGTCAGATATATGGCAGAATATGGTGGCACCAGCCAGTAGCACTAGCTACTCCAGAGGCTTAGAGGGGTGGATCTCTTGAGTCTGGGAGGTCCAGGCTGCAATGAACCATGATTGCACCTCTGCACTCCAGCCTGGGTGACAAAGGGAGGCTGTGTCTCTTTAATAAAAAAAAAAAAATTAGCAGTATTGATGCAAAAAACTCTAGACATAGAAGCCAGACATGGGCTTGAATCCTACCCTTTACAAGTGACAAGTGGCTTTTTTTTGGACACAGAGACTCACTCTGTGACCCAGGCTGCAGTGCAGTGGTGTAATCTTGGCCCACTGCAGCCTCCACCTCCTGGGTTCAAGCGATTCTCATGCCTCAGCCACCCAAATAGCTGGGATTACGGGTGTGTGCTATTACGCCCAGCTAATTTTTGTATTTTTATTAGAGACAGGGTTTCGCCATGTTGGCCAGGCTGGTCTTGAACTCCTGACCTTAAGTTATCCTCCAGCCTCGGCCTCCTAAAGTGTTGGGATCACAGGCATGACCCACTGCACCCAGCCTGTGACATTGTGAACATTAATCTTTGGTGAAAATTTTGCTGCTACTGGTTTATGTATGTATGTATGTATGTATGTATGTATGTATGTATGTATGTATTTATTTATTTATTTTGACACAGAGTCTTGCTCTGTCCCCCATGCTAAAGTGCAACGGTGTGATCTTGGGTCACTGCAGCCTTCATCTCCTGGGTTCAAGTGATTCTCCTTCCTCAGCGTCCCAAGTAGCTAGGATTACAGGTGTGCACTATTATGCCCAGCTAATTTTTGTATTTTTAGTAGAAACGGGGTTTTGTCATGTTGGCCCAGCTGGTCTCAAGCTCCTGACCTCAGGTGATCTGCTGCTTCAGCCTCCCAAAGTGTTGGGATTACAGGAGTGAGCCACTGGGCCTGGCCAAGACAAGATCTTGTTCGGTTGCTGAGACTATGGGTGGACATCACCATGCCTGGCTAATTTGGGGTATGTGTGTGTGTGTGTGTGTGTGTGTGTGTGTGTGTGTTAGAGATGTAGTCTCACTATGTTGCCCAGGATCATAGAGTGATTTTTTTTTTTTTTGAGACGAGATCTTACTCTGTCACCCAGGCTGAAGTGCAAGTGATGCAATCTCAGCTCACTGCAGCCTCCACCTCCCAGGCTCAAGCAATCCTCCCACCTCAGCCTCCCAAGTAGCTGAGACCACAGGTGCATGCCACCATTTTTGGTGGAGGGGAGCTTCTCCATGTTGCCCAGGCTGGTCTCAAACTCCTGAGCTCAAGCGATCCTCCCACATCCACCTCCCAAAGTGCTGGGATTACAGGCATGAGCCACCGTGCCCAGCCAATACAGGGATTTTTTTAAACCAGCCACCAACTATAGCTTCTACCATTATGAGTTGGCTTTTGTGACCATTATTTCATGAGTCCAATTTTGCAAGTCTATATTTTGTTACAAAGTATTGATTCTTCCAACAATGTTTAGGTAATAGCACAGCTTACCTTGGCAGTTTTGCTATTATCAGCTTCGTTTTGCACTGATTCTTCTCCCAGAAATATTAATTATGAGTTGGATAAAAGAATAATCACTTATAGGCCGGGCGCAGTGGCTCACGCCTGTAATCCCAGCACTTTGGGAGGCCGAGGCAGGTGGATCACCTGAGGTCGGGAGTTCGAGACCAGCCTGACCAACATGGAGAAACACCGTCTCTACTAAAAATACAAAATTAGCCAGGCATGGTGGCACATGCCTATAATCCCAGCAACTAGGGAGGCTGAGGCAGGAGAATCACTTGAACCTGGGAGGCAGAGGTTGCAGTGAGCCAAGATCGTGCCATTGCACTCCAGCCTGGGCAACAAGAGTGAAACTCTGTCTCAAAAAAAAAAAGAATAATCACTTATATTTATCTCTTGGCCAATTCATGAAAATATTTTGATTATTCTCAGATATTCCACAATTGCTCTACTATGAGAATCTTTTTTTTTTTTTTTTGAGACGGAGTCTCGCCCTGTCACCTAGGCTGGAGTGCAATGGCAAGATCTCAGCTCACCGCAATCTCCACCTTCCAGGTTCAAACAATTCTGCCTCAGCCTCCCAAGTAGCTGGGATTACAGGTGCCCGCCACCACACCCAGCTAATTGTTGTATTTTTAGTAGAGACAGCGTTTCACCATGTTGGGAGGCTGGTCTCAAACTCCTGACCTTGTGATCCACCTGCCTCGGCCTCCCAAAGTGCTGGGATTACAGGCGTGAGCCATCGCACCCAGCCAATACAGTGATTTTTTTAAACCAACCACCAACTATAGCTTCTACCATTGTGAGTTTCCTTCTGTGGCCACATTATTTCATGAGTCCAATTTTGCAAGTCTATATTTTGTTACAAAGTATTGATTCTTCCAGCAATGTTTGGGTAATAGCACAGCTTACCTTGGCAGTTTCAGCTATTATCAGCTTCATTTTGCACTGATTCTTCTCCCAGAAATATTCTTTATGAGTTGGATAAAAGAGTAATCACATATACTTATCTCTTGGCCAATTCATGAAAATATTTTGACTATTCTCCTCAGATATTCCACAACTGATCTACTGTGAGAATCTTTTACCAGACTCAAACACTATCAATTTTATGTGTTTTATGCACCTCATTGGTGGCCCTGCTACTCAAAGAAACTTTCCATGCCTTTTACTCCCTTGGCTTGAGTCCATGCGGCAGTTTCCCAAACTATAGTATGCACTACCTAGGCTTCATGTAGGTGATAAAATTGTTAGTGTTTGCTATTGATTGTTCTTTTAGATAAAGATCAATCCTAAAGGCTGGGCGCGGTGGCTCACACCTGTAATCCCAGCACTTTGGGAGGCCGAGGCGGGCAGATCACCTGAGGTCAGCAGGTCGAGACCAGCCTGGCCAACATGGAGAAACCCTGCCTCTACTAAAAATACAAAATTAGCAGGGCGTGGTGGCACATGCCTGTAATCCCAGCTACTCGGGAGGCTGAGGCAGGAGAATTGCTTGAATCCAGGAGGTGGAGGTTGCAGTGAGCCGAGATGGCGCCATTGCATTCCAGCCTGGGCAACAAGAGCGAAACTCTGTCTCAAAAAAAAAAAAAGAAAAGAAAAGAAACAAAACAAAGATAAAGATTAATTCTATATGGAGAAGACCAAGGAATTGCTGATTTCTGAAGCAATTTAAGTGCCTCAAATATGAGCCTTTAAACCAATTTTAAATTGGCTGCAGTTTTTTGGGTATATTGCTTTCCAACTTCTTGAATCCATCATAAGATCCAAATGTCTGGAGCAAGAAAGGTTCACATGGTAAGGTCAAAAGGTCTTCCTTGACCCATTTCTTCCTTTATGAAATGAGAATTTAACACTATAGGACGGCCTGGTGTGGTAGCTCATGCCTGTAATCCTAATGCTTTGGGAGGCTGACGGGGGAGGATTGCTGGAGACCAGGAATGTGAGACCAGTTGGGCAACATAGCAAGACCCCATCTCTAAAAAATAAAAATAAAAAATTAGCCAGCCATGGTGGCTTACGCCTGTAATCCTAGTTACTTGGAAGGCTGAGGTAGGAAAATTGCATGAACCTGGGAGGCAGAGGTTGCAGTGAGCCAAGATTTCACTGCTGCACTCCAGCCTGAGTGATAGAGCAAGACTCTGTCTCAAAAATAAATAATAAATAAATAAATAAGGGCCAGGCATGGTGGCTCACACCTGTAATCCTAGCACTTTGGGAGGCCCTAGCAGGTGGATTGCTTGTGCCCAGAAGTTTGAGGCCAGCCTGGGCAATGTGGCAAAACTCTGTCCCTACAAAAATACAAAAATCAGCCAGACCTGATGGCATGTCCCAGTGGTTTAAGCTACCTGGGAGGCTGAGGTGGCAGGATTGCTTGAGCCTGAGAGGTTGCGGCTACAGTGAGCTCTGATCACACCACTGCACTACAACCCAGGCAACAGAGGGGAGACCTTGTCTCCAAAAGAAAGAAAAAAAAAAATTCAAAAGCCATCTCAAAAGTCTAGTCTTAGGTTCTACAACAGTGATGTTAATTACAGGAGTAATTGGAGAAGTCGCAAATCTTGTGATTTCCAGAATAAAGATTTGTAATACATCTGCATCTTAGTCAAATTTTAACCCCTTCCATCCTCCTAACCTGTGGCCTTTCATTAGTTTTACAAAGGCAGTTTAGTTTTGGGAAAGGCTGTTACCATTTTTTAATTTTTCAAATCTTTTTCTTTTTCAGGGTGGGTGAGGGGGCCAGACCCTGCCTCAAAGAAAAAAAAAAGAAAAGAAATGAAAAAATCTTTTTCTTTTTTATTTCTTTTCTTTGTTTGTTTTTTGAGATGGAGTCTCACTCTGTCGCCCAGGCTGGAGTGAGTGCAGTGGTGCGATCTCAGCTCACTGCAACCTCCACCTCCTGGGTTTAAGTGATTCTCCTGCCACAGCCTCCCGAGTAGCTTGGATTACAGGCACCTGCCACCACGCCTGGCTAATTTTTGTATTTTTAGTAGAGACAGGGTTTCACCGTGTTGGCCAGGCTGGTCTCGAACTCTTGACCTGAGTGATACACCCGCCTCTTCCTCCCAAAGTGTTGGAATTACAGGCGTGAGCCACCATGCCCGGCTTTTCTTTTTTCCCTTTTTTTCTTTTTGAGAAGAAGCCTCACTCTGTCGCCCAGGCTGGAGTGCAATGGCGCAATCTTGGCTCACTGCAACATTCGCCTCCCAGGTTCAAGTGATTCTCGTGCCTCAGCCTCCCGAGTAGCTGGGATTACAGGCATGTGCCACCATGCCTGGCAAATTTTGTATTTTTAGTAGAGGTGGGGTTTCACCATGTTGGTCAGGCTGGCCTCGAACTCCTGACCTTAGGTGATCCGCCTACCTCTGCCTCCCAAAGTGCTGGGGTTACAGGCGTGAGCCACCACTCTTGGCCGGCTTTTCTTTTTCATTAAGAAACATATTACTGCTTTTTTCTCCCCCACCTTTTTTGAGATGGAGTCTTACTCTGTCACCCAGGCTGGAGTGAAGTGGCGTGATCTCGGCTCACTGCAACCTCTGCCTCCTAGGTCCAAGCGATTCTCCTGCCTTAGCCCCTGAAGTAGCTGGGATTACAGGCATGCACCACCATGCCCAGCTAATTTTGTATTTTCAGTAGAGACGGAATTTCGCCATGTTGGCCGGGCTGATTTTGAACCTGTGACCTCAGGTGATCCACCTGCCTTGGCCCCCCAAAGTGCTGGGATTACAGGCATGAGCCACCGCCCCCGGCCCAATGAAGCTTTAAAGAAAAATTACCACCTTTAACACAATGTAACATAATTGCAGCCTTTTTTTGTTGTTGTTTTTTGTTTTTTGTTTTTTGAGACAGAGTCTCGCTCTGTCGCCCAGGCTGGAGTGCAGTGGTGTGATCTCGGCTCAATGCAAGCTCTGCCTCCCGGGTTCACGCCATTCTTCTCCCTCAGCCTCCCAATTGCAGCTCTTTAAGGCATGTGTAATATAGACTCTTTAGAAATCAAAACCTTATAAAACTGCCAGGCATGGTGACTCACACCTGTAATCTCAGCACTTTGGGAGGCCGAGGCGGGTGGATTGCCTGAGCTCGAGAGTTCGAGACCAGCCTGGCCAACATAGCGAAACCCCGTCTCTACTAAAAATACAAAAAATTAGCCGGGCGTGGTGGCGGGCACCTGTAGTCCCAGCTACTTGGGAGGCTGAGGCAGGAGAATCGCTTGAACTCGGGAGGCGGAGGTTGTGGTGAGCCAATATTGTGCCACTGCACTCCAGCCTGGGTGACAGAGTGAAACTCCATCTCAAAAAAAAAAAAAAAAAAAAAACCTTATGAAACTAAGAAGCCAAAGTTACTTCAGAAAACATTGAACTGAGCCATTTTGTTTCCTCCCTGGTCCATTTATTATGATGATGAAAAATAATGTTATTATGATTAATTTTTTGTATCTTTCCAAATGCCTCTCAGTCTTGTGCATTCGGCATTAAAATGGATTCCCCAAGGGAATTCTTTCTACTGCTTAAATGTTTCAGCAATTCACTGGCTATCATTTTATCATTTTAGTGAAAATATTGATGACTGTCCACAGAATGAGCTGCTGTTTGCAGGGTATATCCTTACTGTGAACAAAAGAGCTTTAACAGCGCGGTTACCACACACCAGGCTCAAAAACCCAGCTGCCAACTCCAGGCTGGAAGCCAGCCAAAGTGAGCTAGGACTGGAGTCAGGAAGACAGGGGTTCTTGGCAATGACACCCAATTAATTATGTGCATGATTTAGATGGGGGAAGATTAGAGGCCATGCTTTTGCTCTCTGTTCTACTCCTGACTTGCTGGCTCATACCCTACCTTTGTTATTTACTTATAACATGAAAACGAGAGTGACGACTAACACTTCCTTGCCTTTATCTGTTATATCTCTATTTTGCTTTCCTATAAGCAGGCTTTCAAGGCAAGGAGGTCTTTTTTATTTTATTTTATTTTATTTATTTATTCATTTATTTTTTGAGATAGAGTTTCGCTCTTGTTGCCCATGCTGGAGTGCAGTGGCACAATCTCAGCTCACCACAACCTCCACCTCCAGATTCAAGCAATTCTCCTGCCTCAGCCTCCCGAGTAGCTGGGATTACAGGCATGCACCACCACACCTGGCTAATTTTGTATTTTTAGTAGAGACGAGGTTTCTCCATATTGGCCAGGCCGGTCTCGAACTCCTGACCTCAAGTGATCTGCCTGCCTCGGCCTCCCAAAGTGCTGGGATTACAGGCATGAGTTACTGCACCTGGCCCTGGCGAGGACTATGTCTTATTGATCATACCAGTTGTTATGTGCACAGTTGCTGGCACATAACAGTGCAAATATACTCACAGACAGCACTGAAAATTTCAGGAAAAAGTACTAGGTTTGTCAACCCTCGATGTCAATATTTTATTTATTAATCATATAACAATGCTGGGCTTAGCCACTGGAGAGGTTTTTTTTAAAAATGTATTGACTTTGGGCCAGGAGTGGTGGCTCACGCCTGTAATCCCAGCACTTTGGGAGGCCGAGGCGGGCGGATCACGAGGTCAGGAGATCGAGACCATCCTGGCTAACACAGTGAAACCCCGTCTCTACTAAAAATACAAAAAATTAGCCAGGCGTGGTGGCGGGCGCCTGATGTCCCAGCTACTCGGGAGGCTGAGGCAGGAGAATGGCGTGAACCTGGGAGGCAGAGCTTGCAGCGAGCCAAGATTGCGCCACTGCACTCCAGCCTGGGCGACAGAGCGAGACTCCGTCACAAAAAAAAAAAAAAAAATGTATTGACTTTGGAATGCATACCCCAACCCAGCACAGGCCCCCACCATGCCCTGTTGCTCACTCACTCTCCTAATCATGCATTTCATATTTCCAGCCTGGCCCAGGATTCCAGGCTTTGGATTTCAGGGTAAAGAACAAACTCCTGATTATCTCAATCCTGTTGGGTAAAGGGAACTTTATCCTCTTTCATGAAAATAGTTGGGCATCCTGGCTATGTCCCTTGCTATATTTTCCTGCTAAAAGAGCAAATTAAATCCAAACCCAATGTGCATGGAGAGAAGGTGGAAATCATCCAAACCACTTGGAATTAACCAATGCTATCATACAATCAATTAATATGACTAGATATAAACAGGCTAAGAGATCAAAAATGAAATAATAAAAATATTTTCCTAAAGAAAAAGGAAGACAGACTAGGTGGGGTGGTTCATGCCTATAATACCAGCACTTTGGAAGGCTGAGGAAGGCCAATCACTTGAGCCCAGGAGCTTGAGACCAGCCTGGGCAACATGGCGAAACCCCATCTCTACTAAAAATACAAAAATTAGCAGGGTGTGGTGGGGTGCACCTGTAGTCCCAGCTACTCAGGAAGCTGAGGTGGAAGGAACACTTGAGCCCAGGAGGGTAAGGTTGCATTGAACCAAAATAGCACCACTGCACTCCAGCCTGTGTGGCAGGAGGGAGACTCTGTCTCAAAAAAAAATGAGTAAATAAAATAAAAATAAATAAAAAAGAAAAGAAAAAAATACCAAGGGAATATGAAAGTAATGATTAGCATTCTAAGACTTTTTTTTTTTTTTTTGAAATGGGGTATTGCTCTGTCACCCAGTAGCAGGGACTCCAGGGGCATGCCACCATGCCTGGCCAATTTTTGTATTTTTTTGTAGAGATGGGGTTTCGCTATATTACCCAGGCTGATCTTGAACTCCCGAGCTCAATGAATGCACCTACCTTGGCCTCCCAAAGTGCTGGGATTACAGGTGTGGGATTACCCTAGCTGGTACTTTTTAAAATCAGAATAAATGGTCTTTACTTATTTAATACAAACATTATACCTATAACTCATGACTGGAAAACTGAATTAGGGCCGGGTACAGTGGTTCATGTCTGTAATCCCAGGACTTTGGTAGGCTGAGGTGGGCAGATCACTTGAGGTCAGGAGTTCAAGATCGGCCTGGGCAACATGATGAAACCCGGTTCCCACTAAAAATACAAAAACTAGCCAGGCACGGTGGCACACACCTGTAATCCCAGCCACTTGGGAGGCTGAGGCAGAAGAATCGCTTGAACCGAGGAGGCAGAGGTTGAAGTCAGCAGAGACTGCACCGCTGCACTCCAGCCTGGGTGACAGAGCAAGACTCTGTCTCAAAAAAAAAAAAAAAAAAAAAAAACTAAATTATAGTGTGTGCAGTCAACCAATGCCCATCAGAAATGAAAACTATCTCCTAAGTTACTTTATTACTCAGCCAGGTATGGAAAATAGCATTTGCGTGGGCATGGTGGCTCATATCTGTAATCCCAGCAGTTTGCAAGGCTGAGGTGGGAGGATCCCTTGAGGCCAAGAGTTTGAGATCAGCCTGGGCAACATAGTGAGATACCATCTCTGAAAAAAAAAATTAATAGGGATTAATAAATTCTAATATTAGTTGAGGCTGAGCCCTGGTGGCTTACACTTGTAATCCCAGCACTTTGGGAGGCCGAGGCAGGTGGATCACTTGAGGTCGGGAGTTTGAGACCAGCCTGGCCAATATGATTGAGTTGTATGTTTTACCTCATGGCATGAGTAAAACATACTCATCTTTTAGTAGAGATGGCGAAACCCCATCTTTACTAAAAATACAAAAACTAGCCGGGCGTGGTGGTGAGTGCCTGTAATCCCAGCTACTCAAGAGGCTGAGACAGGAGAATCGCTTGAACCTGGGAGGTTAAAGTTGCAGTGAGCCAAGATCACGCCATTGCACTCTAGCCTGGGCGGCGGAGTGAGACTCCGTCTCAATCAATCAATCAATCAATAATATTAGTTGATTTTAGAGAATTTGTAACCACCCAGTGGGTTCACCTTGCCTGCTATCTAGATAGAGCTGATTTCTCAAGACAGGGGAATTGCAATAGAGACAGTAATTAACACAGAGCTGGTACAGGAGACTGGAGTTTTATTATTACTCAAATCAGTCTTCCCGAGCATTTGGGGATCAGAGGTTTTTCTTTTTTTTTTGTGAGAGAGTCTTGCTTGTTGCCCAGGCTGGAATCCAGTGGCTCAATGCTCAATCTCGGCTCACTGCAACCTCCGCCTCCCAGGTTGAAGCAATCCTCCTGCCTCAGCCTCCCAACTAGCGGGGATTACAGGCACACACCACCAGACCCGGCTAATTTTTGTATTTTTAGTAGAGATGGGATTTTACCATGTTGGCCAGGCTGGTCTTGAACTCCTGACCTCAGATGATTTGCCCACCTCGGCTTCCCAAAGTGCTGGGATTACAGGTGTGAGCCACTACGCCTGGCCAGGGGATCAGAGTTTTTAAGGACAACTTAGTGGGTGGGAGGAAGCTGGTAAGCCGAGAATGTGGATGGGCCATGTCAGAGATGAAATTATAGGGAGTTGAAGCTGTCTTCTTGCACTGAGTCAGTTCCTGAGTGGGGCCACAAGGTCAGATGAACCAGGTTATCTTTCTGGGTGTTGCCAGCTGATCCATCAAGGGCAGAGTTTGCAAAATATCTCAAGCACTAATCTTAGGAGCAGTTTAGGGTGGGTCAGCATCTTGTAGCCTCCAGCTGCATGACTCCTAAACCATGATTTCTAATCTTGTGGCTAATTTGTTAATCCTACAAAGGCAGTCTAGTCCCCAGGCAAGAAGGAGGGTTTTTTTGGGAAAGGACTGTTATTGTCTTTGTTTTAAACTATAAACTAAGTTTCTCCCAAAGTTAGTTCAGCCTATGCCCAAGAATGAACAAGGACAGCTTGGAAGTTAGAAGCAAGATGGAGTTGGTTAGGTCAGCTCAGTTATAATTTTGCAATGGTGGCTTCAACATTTTTCTGGGTTTGGGGAGAGAAGTTCCAGGCAGGGAATTGACCACAGAAGGGTTCTATAGAAAAATGGCCTCAGGTGGCGGGGCGCGGTGGCTCACGCCTGTAATCCCAACTCTTTAGGAGGCCAAGGCGGGTGGGTCACCTGAGGTCAGCAGTTCGAGACCAGCCTGGCCAACATGGTGAAACCCCATCTCTACTAAAAATACAAAAAGTAGCCGGGCGTGGTGGCAGGCACCTGTAATCCCAGCTACTCAGGAGGCTGAGGCAGGAGAATCACTTGAACCTGAGAGGCCGAGGTTGCAGTGAGCCGAGATCGTGCCATTGCACTCCAGCCTGGGGGACAAGAGTGAGACTTCATCTCAAAAAAAAAAAGAAAAGAAAAACAGCCTCAGGTTGGGTGCAGTGGCTTATGCCTGTAATCCCAGCACTTTGGGAGGCCAAGGTGGGAGGATCACTTAAACCCAGGAGTTCAAGACCAGCCTGGGCAATATGGCGAGACCCTGTCTCTACAAAAACTAAAAAATTTAGCCAAGTGTAGTGGCCTGTGCCTGTGGTCTCAGCTTCTTGGGAGGCTGAGGTGGGAGGATTGCTTGGGCCTGAAAAGGCCATAGTGAGCCACGATCACGTCACCATACTCCAAGACACTGAGACAGTATGACCCTGTCTCAAAAAAAAAAAAAAAAAAAAAAAGGAAAATAAAAGAAAATGGTATCACTGTCTAATAAAGTATCAAAACATCATTAAAATCAGTGATTATGTCCTTAGGTCCCAGATCAAACTCCAGAGAAGCCATTTTCAAATCACCAATTCATGATTCAAATTATAGAATTATAACCAAAGTGAGGACCCATAGTATAAGGCAAACAGCCAAAATTCTTTCCCTAGAAGATCAAAACATCTTTTGAAAATTTTTAAGGAACTCAGAGCTCTAAGATTCCCGTGTTACCCAAAAATCTCTTTTTGTCTTCAAAATAATGCTGATCTGTAGTATGCCAGTGATAGGGACAGGAGTCAGAGAAATTGTAGGCAGAAAAGGGCAGAGTCCCTGGTAAAGCCCTACCCTCAAGCCTGGAACCTTCGCCCAAAATGAGAACATGCATTCCTGTTTTCCCACTTGAAAGTTGCCTTTTCCAAAACCACCCATGACCCACCCTGCCACTCATCCTGTACCCATGGAAACCCCTGACCTGACTGGCAGAGGGCAGAGAAGGGGAGAAGAGAAGCAGCTGGACATCAGAGAGTGCAGTTTGATGTCAGAGAGAAGCAGCTTGACTTCAGAGGGATGGCTTGACAACCTTGCTTCCGTCCCCAGCTGGACTCCAGGGGAAGATCACCTTCCCACTCCATCCCCCTTCTGGCTCCCCTTCCTGCTGAGAGCCACTTTCATCAGCAATAAAATCCTCTGTATTCACCACTCTTCAGTTCATTTGTGTGACCTGATTTTTCCTGGATGCTAATCAAGAGCTCGAGTGCCACGGGTGCGGATGCTAAAGGCTGTCACACTGACCTTCTGCCCTCGCTGGCAGAGAGCAACCACCTCACGAAAAAAGAGAGGGCCCACTGAGCTGTTTAACATAGATGGCAAAGCTAAAAGAGCACTATAACACACACCCTCTGGGGCCTTGGGGGTCGTGGGTACTCCCCGCTAGACACTGCCAGGGGCCCACATGGAATTTTGCTCCTGTTGTCACCCAAAAGCACTCACTCTGGCACCTGCACCTGCTCACCTGCATCCTCCCCCTTCTGTGAGGGGTTGAGAGCTGTGAGCTGAGTAAGCGAGGCATCCCTGTCATGAGGCCCATGATGGGATCAAGGAAAATTTCCTGTTTCACCAGGTTCAGCCAAACCAAGATGCCCACATCTCTTTATATAGTATGCAGTTTTCTTTTCATCTCTGTTTTTTTTTTATGATGTCTCTTTTCATCTCTCTTTTTAAATACTATTGGTGCATGTTCTCTGTGTTCTGTATACCAAAGTCATATCATAAACTATATTATGAATCTATAGTTTCAGAAGGCTTCCCTTTGCTTGCTTCAAGTAATTCTCTACCTTTTGGCCTCAGTGCAATATGAGGAAGAGGAGGAGGCAGATGTGATGAACACGAAGCCCTGTTGCACCTCTGCAGAAGAGGCCCCACAGTCATTTTCAACACAAGGCTCCAAGGAGAACCCACTAGCACAGTAGGCTGGAAAGAAACATATTTGCTCCCCTGTCTAGCTGTGAATGTGTTCAACTCAGTTCTGTCTTCCTGTCTCTCTTACAACACTCATGAGAAATATCGTTTACAGACACCACTGTGTACCCATGGGTGTCTCATCCAACTGTTATTAAATGCCCTGGGGCCTTGGCTGCATCTCCTTTCTTGGTACTCCCACCCCAGACAGAATATCATAACATCCATGAGTGGCAATGACATTATTATTCCTGCTCTAATTTATTTTTTAAAATAATTTGCATGCATCAGTATACAACCCAATCTCGCTTACTTGCTTGCTTTTCTTTTCTTTTTCTTTTTTCTTTTTTTGAGTCATTCTTGCTCTGTCGCCCAGGCTAGAGTACAGTGGTGCCATCTGGCTCACTGCAGCCTCCTCTGCCCGGGTTCAAGCAATTCTCGTGCCTTGGCCACCAAAGTAGCTGGGACTACACATATGCACCACAACTCCTGCCTAACTTTTGTATTTTTTCTAGTAGAGATGTGGTTTCGCCATGTTGGTCAGGCTGGTCTTGAACTCCTGACCTGAAGTGATCTGCCCGGCTTGGCCTCCCAAAGTGCTGGGATTACAGGCCTGAGCTACCCTGCCCTGCCTCTAAACTTTTATTATAATCCAAACAGAATTGCATTCAACAATTGCTCAAGGCCGGGTGTGGTGGCTCACACCTGTAATTCCAACACTCTGGGAGCCTGAGGTGGAAGGATTGCCTGAGGCCAGGAGTTCAAGACTAGCCTGGACAAAATAGAGAGACTCCATGTGTCCCAAAAAAAAAAAAAAAAAAAAAATAGGCCTATAATCTCAGCACTTTGGGATGCCAAGGTGGGTGGATCACCTGAGGTCAGGAGTTCAAGACCAGCCTGGCCAACATGGCGAAATCCCGTCACTACTAAAATTACAAAAGTAGCTGGGTATGGTGGTGCATGCCTGTAGTCCCAGCTACTGGGGAGGCTGAGGCAGGAGAATCACTTGAACCCAGAAGGGGGAGGTTTCAGGGAGCCAAGGTCATGCCACTGCACTCCAGCCTGGGTGACAAAGCAAGGCTCCCTCCGTCTCAAAAAAAAAAAAAAAAAAAAAAAAGCCAGGCGTGATGGTACATGCTATAGTCCCAGCTACTCAGGAGGCTTAGGCAAAAGGATGGCATAAGCTGAGGAGTCTGAGGCTGCAGTGAGCTGTGATAATGCCACTGCACTCCAGCCTGGGTGACAGAGCAAGACCCTGACTCTAAAAAAGAAAGAAAAAAAAAATTGCTCAAATGCTTCATCATTGAAAAAAGCATTTCATATGTTGGGACTGCCTTTCATAAGTCATAATTAAGCCAGAACTGAATTCTCCATCAAGACTGTTGGCAGTTAATGGCATTTTAAATTTTCTTCTTTTGGTATATTGGCATTTTCTAATTTTCTATCATGAACACTTGTTACCATTTCAAGTAGAGAATAACTGCATACTAGGCAATGTGCTAAGAATTTTACATGCATTATCTTACTAACTGCTCCCAACCATCTTTGTTTTTTTTGTTTTGTTTTGTTTTTGTTGTTGTTTTTTTTTTTTTTTTTGAGATGGAGTCTTGTTTTGTCGCCCAGGCTGGAGTGCAGTGTCACAATCTCAGCTCACTGCAACCTCTGCCTCCAGGGTTCAAGTGATTCTCCTGCCTCAGTCTCCCGAGTAGCTGGGATTACAGGCCCCAGCCACCACACCTGGCTAATTTTTGTATCTTTAGTAGAGACGGGATTTCACCATGTTGGCCAGGCTGGTCTCAAACTCCTGACCTCAAGTGATCCACCCGCCTCGGCCTCCCAAAGTGCTGGGATTACAGGCGTGAGCCACCACGCCTGGCCCATCTTTGAAATACTATTGTTAGTACATTTTACAGCAAAGGAAACAAAAGCCATAAAGGTTAAATAACGTACCTAGTTCAGCTTGGCTGTGCGGCTTTATACAAACCACTAATTCTCTTAGGCCCTTAGTTTTATGGCCTATAAAACTGAGATAGTATCTCCCTCATTAAATGTAAGGATTAAAAAAGAATGCCAACTGTGAAGGAGTTCTTATGTGAGATACCTGGCCTACGGAAAACAATACTCTTCCTTTATGTTCTCTGCAGATGTCGAGTACTACTATTAAAACAGACTCCTTAGCAATACAGTTCGGAAGATAGCTCAAATGCTTGGTACACGTATCTCCTCTCAACTTCAAGTTCACTGTCCTCAGCCTGGGGACTTGAAATTGGCCATCATGGGAATCAGAAGCCAGCAGAAAACACCATTCATCAGGGCTATCCTCCTTGGAGAGCCGGTTGTTCGATATTTACCTGCATGTACAATTCCTAAATTGAAAGATGATTGATGAACTTACTAATGTGGCTCTAATTCAGGCTTCATTTATTTATTTAGGTAGAATGCTTCAGAACTGGGCTCTGCATGTCATGAGGGCTATCTTCCCAACTGTAACATGAAGGAATTCCAAGAATGGCAAAAAAAAAAAAAAAAAAAGTCTCCCAAAGATTTTTCCCATTTCAGCTGTTTCAATCTGATTAGGGAAACACAATACACTATACATAACATCTTTGAGTGTTGATGTGAGTTTTTTTTTCTTTTTTTTTTTTGGATCTCTATGCTGCCTGTTGCTTCCATAAAAGGCCCCGATTAATGATATTTATGAATAGCCCAATTTGGTTTTTTTTTGAGGCAGAGTCTCGCTCTGTCACCCAGGCTGGAGTGCAGTGGCGCGATCTGAGCTCACTGCAACCTTTGCCTCCTGGGTTCAAGCAATTCTCCTGCCTCAGCCTCCCATGTAGCTGGGATTACAGGCAATTGCCACGCCTGGCTAATTTTAGTAGAGATGGGGATTCACCATGTTGGACAGGCTGGTCTCAAACTCCTGACCTTAAGTGATCCGCCAGCCTTGGCCTCCCAAAGTGCTGAGATTACAGGTGTAAGCCACCACTCTCAGCCATGATAGCCCAATTTGTTTGGCATACCTGCATCTTGGAGTAACTATTTTACTAACCAGACAGTGTTTCTTCTCCTAAGGGACCATATCTTGTACAAATGCTTGGCATAGAGAAATTATGATACTTTATTAAGGCCAGGTGAAGTGGCTTATGCCTGTAATGCCAGCACTTTGGGTAGCCAAGGAGGGCAGATCATTGGAGCCCAGGAGTGTGAGACCAGCCTGTGGAACATGGTGAAACCCTGTCTCTACCAACAATTTAAAAACAAAAAAATTAACCAGGTATGCTGGTGCGTGCCTGTAATCCCAGCTACTCGGGAGGCTGAGGTGGGAGGATCACTGGAGCCCAGGATATAACCACTCAACAGGTTCACCTTGCCAGCTGCCTAGACAGAGCCAATTTATCAAGACAGGAGAATTGCAACAGAGAAAGAGTAATTCACACAGAGCTGGCCACTGTTGTATTATTCAAATGAGTCTCTCTGAGCATTTGGGGATCAGTTTTTAAACATAATTTGGCCCAGGTGTGGTGGCGTACACCTATAATTCCAGCACTTTGGGAGGCTGAGGTGGGCAGATTCCTTGAGGTCAGGAGTTCTACACCAGCATGAACAAGATGGTGAAACCCCATCTCTACATTTCAACAACATGGTGAAACCCCATCTCTATAAAATACAAAAAATTAGCTGGGTATGGTGGAGTACACCTGTAGTCCCAGCTAGCCACTGCACCTGGCCAACCCACTGATTTAGAGTGAAATAAATTTATACTATCACAGTTCTGAAGGTCAGAGGTCCAAAATCAAGGTGACAGCAGAACCATGATCTCTCTGAAGGCTGTAGGGGAGAATCTATTCCATGCCTTTCTCTGAGCTCCTGGTGCTCCCAGCAATGCTTGGCACTTATTGGCTTGTAGAGGCATCACTTGAATCTCTGCCTGTGTTGTTGCACAGTGTTCTCCTGTGTATCTCGCTTCCTGTTGTCTTCCCTGTGTGTCTCTGTGTTTCTTCTCCTTTTCTTAGAAAAGGAGACCAATTAGGGCTCACCCTAATTACTTTATCTTTTTTATTTATTCATTTATTTTTGAGACAGAGTCTTGCTCTGACACCCATGCTGGAGTGCAGTGGCACCATCTCAGCTCGCTGCAACCTCTGCCTCCTGGGTTCAAGCAAGTCTCCCACCTCAGCCTCCTGAGTAGCTGGGATTACAGGTGCCTGCCACCATGCCCAGCTAATTTTTGTATTTTTTTGTGGGGGGGGGGGGGCGGGGACAGATGTTTGCTCTTGTTGACCAGGCTGGAGTGCAATGGCGCAATCTCAGCTGACCACAACCTCTGCCTCCCAGGTTCAAGCAATTCTCCTGCCTTAGCCTCCCGAGTAGCTGGGATTACAGGCGTGCACCACCATGCCCGGCTAGTTTTGTATTTTCAGTAGAGACGGGATTTCTCCATATTGGTCAGGCTGGTCTCGAACTCCCCACCTCAGGTGATCTGCCTGCCTTGGCCTCCCAAAGTGCTGGGATTACAGGTGTGAGCCACCACGCCTGGCCTAATTTTTGTATTTTCAGTAGAGACGGAGTTTCACCATTTAGGCCAGACTGGTCTCAAATGCCTGACCTCAAGTGATCTACCTGCCTCAGCCTCCCAAAGTGCTGGGATTACAGGCGTGAGCCACCACACCTGGCCTAATGACTTAATCTTAATTTGATTACATCTGCAAAGACCCTCTTTCCCAATAAGGTTGCATTCACAGATATGGGGGTTGGGACTTGAACATGTGTTTTTGAGGAACATGAGTCAACCCATAATAGATACTGAGAAGGTTGTTCTCAGAAAATGCTAGATATTTGGCGCAGGAGGTTGTAACTAATCAGGCCAAGTTCAAGAGGATCAATCAAGGGACAGAGGGGCAGAACAGATGTGTAGAGGGAAGCAGAGAGAGAACATCCCAGAAAGTTGAAGACTGTGGTCTCCACGACATCCCTTGTGTCAACTCACCATTCCATTCTTTATTTTTATTCACCTGAGTAACTTTTTCTTCTCTCTTTTTTTTTTTTTTTTTTTTGACAGAGGGTCTTGTTTTATCACCCAGGCTGGAGTGCAGTGGTGTGATCATGGCTCACTGCAGCCTTGACCTTCTGGGCTCAAGCAATCTTCTGGTCTCAGCCCCCCAAGTAGCAGAGACTACAGGCTTTTGTCAGAGATGGAGTTTTGCCACGTTACTCAGGCTGGTCTGGAACTCCTGAGCTCAAGCAATCCTCCCACCTCTGCCTCCCAATGTGCTGGGATTACAGGCGTGAGCCCAGCCTGGCTTTCTCTTTCTATACTCTAAAATCATTAGAACCCTGAGCAGAAGAGTAATTTTCCCAAAGTCAGTGTGGAACGGGTCATGATTTCTGAAAACAAGCTCACCAGCCAGAAGAAAACTGATAAATACAAAGGAAACGTGATAGGTTCTTCCTAAAGCAAAATTTGGCCGGGCGCAGTGGCTCACACCTGTAATCCCAGCACTTTGGGAGGATGAGGTGGATGGATCACGAGGTCAGGAGTTCAAGACCAGCCTGGCCAAGATGGTGAAACTTCATCTCTACTAAAAATACAAAAAATTAGCTGGGTGTGGTGGCACACACCTGTAATCCCAGCTATTCAGGAGGCCGAAGCAGAGAATTCCTTAAACCCCGAAGGCGGAGGTTGCAGTGAGCCGAGATCGCGCCACTGCCCTCCAGCCTGGGTGACAGAGCAAGATTCTGTCTCAAAAAAAAAAAAAAAATGCAAAATTTATCCCATAAAAAGGTATCCTTCTATAAATGTCTTTTGTTTCTACTTTTTTTTTTCTTTTTTTTTTAGACAGGTCTCACTCTCGTTGCCCAGGTTGGAGTGCAATGGTGTGATCCTCCCACTTCAGCCTCCTGAGTAGTTGGGACCACAAGTGAAAGCTACTACACCCAGTTAGGTTTTGTTGTTGTTGTATTTTTAGTAGAGACGGGGTTTCGCCATGTTGCCCAGGCTGGTCTCAAACTCCTAGACTCAAGCAATCCTCCCAACTTGGCCTCCCAAAATGCAGGGATTACAGGTGTGAGCCACTGTGCCCAGACAGTTTCTACTTTTTATGGATCAAAATATCCATTAAAATGGAAGTGACGGCAGGGTGCGCTGGCTCACACGTGTAATCTTAGCACTTTGGGAGGCTGAGGGGGGCGGATCGCCTGAGGTCAGGAGTCTGAGACCAGCCTGACCGACATGGAGAAACTCCATCTCTACCAATAATACAAAAATTAGCCAGGCGTGGTGGTCCATGCATGTAATCCCAGCTACTCGGGAGGCTGAGGTAGGAGAATCGCTTGAACCTGGGAGGCGGAGGTTGCAGTAAACCGAGATCTTGCCATTGCACTCTAGCCTGGGCAACAAGAGTGAAACTGCGTCTCAAAAACAAAAACAAAAAATCCCGGAAGTGACAGGAGTGTGTTTTGTTTTACAGTGTTCCCTGTGGCAAAATTAAAACTGGCAATCCTATGTCTAGACCTAGAATTTTTAAAAATTTACTTTCTTGGATCGAAAATGATCTAAAGCAGGCTGAAACCAGTGTTCTGCCTGCAGAACACCTGCAAACTTTGCTGAGTAGGAGATCTCTCCTGGATCCCACCTCTGCTTCTTTTCCCCCAGATATCTCCTGTCATATTTGTTTTTTACCAGGCTGAGTGTTCCTAAAGGCTTCCCTTGCATTGACTATGGAGCTCACAGCAATTTTTTTGTTGCTTGGAAATGGCTACTCCTCTGTAAGGGTGTGTTTCAGGAAAAACTCTCCCAAACTGTGCTTTTCCACTGTGCTCACACCACCACAACGATCGTCAACACAGAAGAACACTTCTGTGGCCAAATATGTGGGAGTTTTTCCCCATACACCAAGCAGCCGACACCAGGTGGGGGCCCTACAATTTCATTCTGACATTATCTACTTGGAGATAGCATCAGATCCCATGGGTTGAGGTCTCAGTCCCCAACACTGCCTCCCTTGCAGAAGACATCAGTTGCAAGTCTCTGCCACTGGAATTTCGGACCTACCAACAACAAGTTGAAGTCTCCACGACCCCCAATTTGGGTTCCTTTAATTTGCTAGAGAGGCTCACAGGACCCAGGGAAACAGCGATGTTTACCAGTTTATTATTATAAAGGATACAGATGAAGGGATGCACAGATATGAAGAAAGGGGTGCGGAGCTTCCATGCCCTCCCTGGGTGCACCACCCTCTAGAAATCTCCACACGTTCAGCCATCCCGAAGCTCTCCAAACCAATCCTCTGTGTTTCTATGAAAGCTTCATGGCCTCAGCATTCCTTCTGTCAGAGGCATTTGAACCAGAGCAACTCCATCTTGAATATGAGCTGGGTAAAAAAGGCTGACACCTACTGGGCTGCATTCCCAGATGGTTAGGCATTCTAAGTCACGGGATGAGATGGGAGATCAGCACAAGATACAGGTCATAAAGACCTTTCTGATAAAACAGTTTGTCGTAAAGAAGCCAGCTTAAACTCACCAAAACCAAGATGGCAATGAGAGTGACCTCTGGTCATCCTCACTGCTACACTCCCATCAGTGCCACGACAGTTTACAAATGCCATGGCAACATCAGGAAGTAACCCTATATGGCCTAAGAAGGGGAGGAATGAAGAACCACATTCATGCTTTTGTTTAGCATATATTCATATACATGTTTAGCATATATGCTTTTGTTTAGCATATATTCAAGAAATAACCATAAAAATGGGCAACCAGGGCTGGGCGCGGTGGATCGTGCCTGTGATCCCAGCACTTTGGGAGGCCGAGGCGGGTGGATCACGAGGTCAGCAGAGGTGGAGCTTGCAGTGAGCCAAGATTGCAGCACTGCACTCCAGCCTGGGCAACAGAGCCAGACTCTGTCTCTAAAAAAAAAAAAAAAAAAAAAAAAAAAAAAAAAAAAAGGGCAACTAGCCAGGCGTGGTGGCTCATGCCTGTAATTCCAGCACTTTGGGAGGCCAAGGCAAGTGGATCACCTGAGGTCAGGAGTTCGAGACCAGCCTGATCAATATGGAGAAACCCGTCTCTACTAAAAATACAGAATTAGCTGGGTGTGGTGGCACATGCCTGTAATCCCAGCTACTCGGGAGGCTGAGGCAGGAGAATTGCTTGAAACCGCGAGGCGGAGGTTGCGGTAAGCCGAGATCACGCCATTGCACTCTAGCCTGGGCAACAAGAGCAAAACTCCACCTCAGAAAAGGCAACCAGCAGACCAGCAGACCTTGGGGCTGCTCTGCCTATGGAGTAGCCATTCTTTCGTTCCTGCTTTCACTTTATTCTGTGGACTTGCTTCAAATTCTTTCTTGCCCGAGATCAACCCCCTCTTGGGGTCTGGATCCGGACCCTTTACCAGTAACACTCGAGTGTATAGGGCAGGACTGACCCTGGGGAGGGTCCTAAGGCCCACTGCACCCGGCCTCCATGGGTTTTAAAAGCTTCCAGCACTCTAGGCTGGGCACAGTGGCGAGCACCTGTAGTCTCAGCTATTCCGGAGGCGGAGGCACAAGAATGGCTGAACCCAGGAGGCGGAGGTTGCAGTGAGTCGAGATAGCAGCACTACATTCCAGCCTGGGCCACATAGCAAGACTCATCTCAAGAAAAAAACAAACAAAAAAAAAAACAAAAAAAAACCCTCCAGCATTCTAAGAAAAATGTTAACAATAAAGATAATGTGGGGCTTTACTTTGGGAGGCTGAGTTGAGAGGATTACTTGAAATCAGGAATTCAAGACCAGCTGGGCAACAAAATGAAACCCCATGTCAACAACAACAATCAAAAATCAAAAAATTAGCCAGGCCTGATGGCACATGCCTGTGGTCCCAGCTACATGGGAGGTTGAGGCAGGAGAATTGCTGGAGCCTGGGAGATCGAGACTGCACTGAGCCGTGATAGTGCCACTGTGCTCCAGCCTGGGTGACAGAGCAAGACTCTGTCTTAAACAAACAAATGAAGAAGATGTGGATGTTCCTGCAGGGGCCAAGGCCCTCGGCCCCCTGGAGATTTGAAAACCACTGACAGGCAGATTAATTGGAGAAAGGCATACAAATTTATTTGACATGTATACACGGGAGCCTTCAGAATGAAAACTCAAAGATACAGGAAAAAATGTCGATTTTTATGCTTGGGTTCAACAAAGTATGGACAGCCAGGTAACTGGAAAAAAAGGGCAAGATCTAATGTTAATAGACTGAATGAGGAGCCCAGCAAGGCCTGTCTGTCTAGATTCCTGGCCTCTCCGAGTAGCACTACTTCCTTCTGGGTGTGGGGCAAGACCCTCTCTGGAATAGGGGTCTTATGGCCTACAGTCAAACAAGGTAGGCCAGATAATTAGAATTTTTTCTTTTCTTTCTTTCTTTTTTTTTTTTTTTTTTTTTTTGAGATAGGATCTCTCTCTGTCTCTCTGCCATGTCTGGTAACTTTTTTTTTTTTTTTTTTTTTGAGACAGAGTCTTGCTCTGTCACCAGGCTGGAGTGCAGTGGCACGATCTTGGCTCACTGCAACCTCTGCCCCCCAGGTTCAAGCCATTCTTCTGCTTCAGCCTCCCAAGTAGCTAGGCTTACAGGTGCCCATCACCACGCCCAGCTAATTTTTGTATTTTTAGTAGAGACGGGGTTTCATCTTGTTGGCCAGGATGGTCTCGATCTCCTGACCTCATGATCCGCCTGCCTCGGCCTTCCAAATTGCTGGGATTACAGGCATGAGCCACCGTGCCTGGCCAACATGTCTGGCAACTTTTTAAATTGTGTTCACTGCAACTTCCATCTTCTGAGTTCAAGCAATTTTCTTGCTTCAGCCTTCTAAGTATCTAGGACTACAGGTGTGCATCACCATGCCTGGCTAATTTTTATATTTTAGTGAAGACAGAGTTTCGCCATGTTGGCCAGGCTAGTCTCGAACTCCTGACTTCAAGTGATCTGCTTGCCTTGGCCTCCCAAAGTGCTGTGATTACAGGCTTGAGCCACTGTGCCTGGCCAACTTTTAAAATTTTTTTGCAGAGATGATGTTTCACTATGTTGCCCAGGCTGGTCTCAAACTCCTGGCTTCAAACAATCCTCCCACCTCAGCCTCCCAAAGTGGGATTACAGGCTTGAGCCACCACACTTGGCCCCAATTTTATTAAATGCCCATTTATCATGCCTAGGGTGTTTGATGTCACTTCATGTGCCATGGTAAAATGAAAATCTTGCATAAGCACTACTGTTTATTACCTCTCCTCCTGAACCTGAGAAGCTGAGCTGGAGGAGGTCATACAGCCAGACAAATGGTTCCGTTACAAAACAAGGATTCCTAGTGTTTCCCTGATTAATTCCTTCTTTCATTGTTCTGATTATTTTTGCTACAGAACAAATCACTCCAAAACTTAGCAGCTTAAAACCACCATTTTATTATCTTTTTCAGTTCTATAGGCTGACTGGGCTCAGCAGGAAGGTTCTTGTTCAGGATTTCTATGCAGTTGGAGTAAGATGGCAGCTGGGGCTGGAGTGGGCCTAAAAGCTGAACCAGATTTCCAGAATGGCTCCTCCTCTTCCTCCTCCTCCTCCTCCTCCTCCTTCTTCCTCTATTACTATTATTATTGAGACAGGGTCTCACTGTCACCAAGGCTGGAGTGCAGTGGCTCAATCATAGCTCATTGTAGCATCAAACTCCTGGGCTCAAATGTTCCTCCCACCTCAGCCTCCTGAGTAGTTGGGACTATAGTCATGTGCTACCACGGCCAGCTAATTTTCAAATTTTTCATAGAGATGTGTGTGGTGGGGGAGCAGTTCTCACTATGTTGCAGGCTAGTCTTGAACTCCTGGCCTCACTCAATCCTGCCTTGGCCTCCCAAAGTGCTGGGTTTACAGGTGTGAGCCACCATGTCCGTCCAAAGATGGCATCTTTTTTTTTTTATTGATCATTCTTGGGTGTTTCTCGCAGAGAGGGATTTGGCAGGGTCATAGGACAACAGTGGAGGGGAGGTCAGCAGATAAACAAGTGAACAAAGGTCTCTGGTTTTCCTAGGCAGAGGACCCTGCGGCCTTCCGCAGTGTTTGTGTCCCTGGGTACTTGAGATTAGGGAGTGGTGATGACTCTTAACGAGCCTGCTGCCTTCAAGCATCTGTTTAACAAAGCACATCTTGCACCGCCCTTAATCCATTTAACCCTGAGTGGACACAGCACATGTTTCAGAGAGCACCAGGTTGGGGGTAAGGTCATAGATCAACGGCATCCCAAGGCAGAAGGATTTTTCTTAGTACAGAACAAAATGGAGTCTCCTATGTCTACTTCTTTCTACAGAGACACAGCAACCAACTGATTTCTCTATCTTTTCCCCACATTTCCCCCTTTTCTATTCGACAAAACCGCCATCGTCATCATGGCCCGTTCTCAATGAGCTGTTGGGTACACCTCCCAGACGGGGTGGCAGCCGGGCAGAGGGGCTCCTCACTTCCCAGAAGGGGAGGCCGGGTGGAGGCGCCCCCCCACCTCCCGGACGGGGCGGCTGGCCGGGGGGCGGCTGCCCCCCACCTCCCTCCCGGACGGGGTGGCTGGCGGGGCGGGGGCTGTCTCCCGCCTCCCTGATGGGGCGGCTGCCAGGCGGAGATGCTCCTCACTTCCCAGACGGGGCGGCTGCCGGGTGGAGGGGCTCCTCACTTCTCAGACGGGGCGGCCGGGCAGAGACGCTCCTCACCTCCCAGACGGGGTCGCGGCCGGGCAGAGGCGCTCCTCACATCCCAGACGGGGTGGCGGGGCAGAGGCGCTCCCCACATCTCAGACGATGGCGGCCAGGCAGAGACGCTCCTCACTTCCCAGACGGGGTGGCGGCCGGGCAGAGGCTGCAATCTCGGCACTTTGGGAGGCCAAGGCAGGCGGCTGGGAGGTGGAGGTTGTAGCGAGCCGAGATCACGCTACTGCACTCCAGCCTGGGCACCATTGAGCACTGAGTGAACGAGACTCCGTCTGCAATCCCGGCACCTCGGGAGGCCGAGGCTGGCGGATCACTCGCGGTCAGGAGCTGGAGACCAGCCCGGCCAACACAGGGAAACCCTGTCTCCACCAAAACAATACGAAAACCAGTCAGGCGTGGCGGCGCGCGCCTGCAATCGCAGGCACTCGGCAGGCTGAGGCAGGAGAATCAGGCAGGGAGGTTGCAGTGAGCAGAGATGGCGGCAGTACAGTCCACCTTCGGCTCGGCATCAGAGGGAGACCGTGGAAAGAGAGGGAAAGGGAGACCATGGGGAGAGGGAGAGGGAGACCGTGGGGAGAGGGAGAGGGAGACCGTGGGGAGAGGGAGCTGCAGGTTTCTTTATCGGTATTGATCAGATGGCGTCTTTACTTACACGCCTGGTAGCTAATTGGAGTGGCTGAAACAGCTGAGGCTGGTTTTCTCTTTTCAAGTACTTTTCCACATGGCTAAATTGGGCTTCCTTACAACATGGTGGGTTAAAGAGAATCACACATCTCACATGGTAACTGGCTTCCCTAGGGGGTTATTTTTAATCTACCATGATAATGTAATCAATAAAAGATTTTTTAAGTGTAGGGAGGTAAGAAGCCCTGATGAATACAGGCTGGGCAGTGTTTGATCTGAAGGCAAGTTCTCAGGACCTACTCAACTATATGTTAGCTCCTTTTGCTTTTTTGAGACTTAGTCTTGATCTGTCATCCAGGCTGGAGTGCAGTAGTGTGATTTCGACTTACTGCAACCTCTGCCTGCTGGGTTCAAGTGATTCTCCTGCCTCAGCCTCCCAAGTAGCTAGGGTTACAGGTGCCCACCAACCAAGCCTGGCTAATTTTTGTATTTTTAGTAGAGACGGGGTTTCACCATGTTGGCCAGGCTGGTCTTGAACCCCTGACCTCAAGTGATCTGTCTGCCTCAACCTCCCAAAGTGCTGGGATTATAGGCGTGAGCCACCATGGCCGGCCTTTTTTTTTTTTTTTCTTCAGACAGAGTCTCACTCTGTTGCCCAGGCTGGAGTGCAGTGGTGCAATTTGGCTCACTGCAACTTCCACCTCCTGGTTCAAGCAATTCTCCTGCCTTGGCCTCCTGAGTAGCTGGGACTACAGGTGCCCACCACCACACCCTGCTGATTTTTGTATTTTTAGTAGAGACAGGGTTTTGTCATGTTGGCCAGGCTGGTCTTGAACTCCTGACGTCAGGTGATCCACCCTCCTCAGGCTGCCAAAGTGCTGGGATTACAGGCGTGAGCCACTGCACCCGGCCCCTTCTGCTCTTTCCTGCATCTCAAAACATGCATATGCACAGAAAAACTGTCTCCTCTCCTTACCCCCTGCCTTGGATCCTTCACCCCATGTTTTCTGTTTTCTAAAATTCCTCAATTACATACCTGAATTTAAAACAATCCTCTTTAATATATGTGAACCTTTCCTTCCCGGAGGTCATGAAGCTGTTCCCAGTCATTTAATCCCAGCGATGTATTATTTATCTATTGCCATATAACAATTCACCCCAAACTTAGTGGCTTGAAACAATAAACATTTTATATTGCAGTTTCTGTGGGTCAGAAGACTAGAAGCAGTTTAGCTGAGTGGTTCTGGTTTGGGGTTTCTTGGGAGGCTGCAGACAAGATGTCAGCTGGGGTTGTAGTTATCTGAAGGCTTGCCTGGGGCTGGCAGATTTACTTCCAAGAGGGCTTGCTCACATAGTGCTGGTTATTAGCCGGAACCTTCAGAGCCTCCCTATGAGGGACTGCTTTACTGTTCTCATGATATGATGGCAGCCTTCCTCAGAGTAAGCAATCCAAGAGAGAACAAGGATCAGGCTGCAATGTTTTTGTGTGAGCTAGCCTCAGAAGCCATCCTCTGTCATTTCTGTAATATCCCATTGGTCACATAGGTCAGTCCTATTCAATGAGAAAGGGTATGAACACCAGGAGGTGGTGGGAGACTGGGCCAAGGGAAAGCTAATATTGAGGGGAGAAAAGAAGAGACAGGCTAAGCGTGGTGGCTCATGCCTGTAATCCCAGCACTTTGGGAGGCTGAGGCAAAAGAGTCACTTCAGTCTAGGAGTTCGAGACCAGCCTGGGCAACATGGTAACAACCCATCTCTACAGAAAATTTTAAAAATTAATTTTAAAAAGGTGAGGAGGCTGGGTGCGGTGGCTCACGCCTGTAATCCCAGCACTTTGGGAGGCCAAGGCAGGCAGATCACGGGAGCTCAAGAATTCAAGACCAGCCTGGCCAACATGGTGAAACCCAGTCTCTACTAAAAATATAAAAATTAGCCAGGAGTGGTAGTGTGCACCCATAATCCTAGCTACTCAGGAGGCTGAGGCAGAAGAATCGCTTGAACCTGGGAGGCGGAGGTTGCAGTGCGCTGACTGTGCTCCAGCCTGGGCAACTGAGCGAGACTCCATCTAAAAAAAAAAAGAGGAAACAAAGGAGGTATGTAATATTGGAGCCAGGATCATTTTAAGGAAAACTCAAGCACTAATTTGAGTCCCAGAGCTGGGAATAGAGATGAAGTTCTTGAGACCTGGTTGTCCTTGACACGTGTTGCAGAAGAGGAGGGAAAACAGAAGTGAGAATGACAGACCCATTTTTCCTCTTTCAATGTTATTTTTGCACTAACAGAAGGAGACAAGCTGCCCTTGCCCTTAAAAGGTCATTTTCAATCTCTTGGCCAGACTAGAAGGAGAATATTTCTCCTGAATAATTAATTGGTTTTAAGAAGATGGAAAGATATTTTTAGCTTCTAAGAAGAAATCAGGGTCGCTTGAATGATATCTTTATTCAACAAGGACACAGTCTTTCAGGAAGTTTACTTGTGCCAATGTAATTAGTAGTTGCTTTACAGGACAATGCTGTGCAGGTTTCACGCTGTGATGAAAGGAGATGATTTTCCAGTTACTGTTAATTGAAAATTGAAGCAAAGTGAACTTTGCAATCAAAACAGGAAGGGAAAACCAGACTGCAATAAGACAATAACCTTAGAGCTTTGTTCTTTCACAACACACAGAGAAGAAGCAAAGGGTTTTTTAAACTACTTTCATCTGGGCCAAATTTCTTGGAAGAATGCCCTCTGCCTGCCATCTACTTCCCTCTGGCTTGGCTTTTGCCCCAACCACCACTTCACTGAACCTGCTTTCATTATGGCCAACAAGGACTCCATGTTGCCTAACCCACTGGACATTTTTCTGTTTTGTGTTTTCTGATCTCTAAGCAACATTGACTCAATTGACCACTCACTGTTTCTGAAAATACTTTCCTTCTAGTTTCAGGGATGCCATTTTCTCCTTGTTTGTCATCTCCCTGGCCATCTATTTAAGGTCTTCCTCCATTATCCAACCTCTAAATGTTAAGGATCCTGGTCAGGCACAGTGGCTCATGCATGTAATCTCAGAACTTTGGGAGGTTGAGGTGGGAAAATCACTTGAAGACAGGAGTTCAAGACCAGACTGGCCAGTATAGTGAGACCCCCATCTCAACTTTTATTTATTTATTTATTTTTTTGAGAGGGAGTTTCACTCTGTCACCCAGGCTAGAGTGCAGTGGCATGATCTCAGCTCACTGCAACCTCCGCCTCCCGGTTTCAAGAGATTCTCCTGCCTCAGCCTCCTGAGCAGCTGGGATTACAGGTGCCTGCCACCGTGGCTGGCTAATTTTTGCATTTTAATAAAGACGAAGTTTCACCATGTTGACTAGCCTGGTCTCCAACCCCTGACCTCAAGTGATCTGTCTGCCTTAGCCTCCCAAAGTGCTGGGATTACAGGTGTGAACCACCGCGCATGGCTCCCATCTCTACTTTTTAATAAAAAGAGAATAATAATAATAAAGCTGAGAATCTTAATCATTGCGTGTCTTCTCTTTTTCTTTTCTTTTTTTTTGAGGTGGAGTCAGGCTGGAGTGCAATGGCAGGGTCTCGGCTCACTGCAACCTCCGCACTATCCTGCCTCCCAAGTAGCTGGGATTACAGGCATGTGCCACTACTCCCCGCTAGTTTTGGTATTTTTAGTAGAGATGGGGTTTCACCACATTGGCCAGGCTGGTCTCGGAATCCTGACTTCAGGTGATCCACTCGCCTTGGTCTCCCAAAATACTGGGATTACAGGCGTGAGCCGCCACACCCAGCCACATCTCTGCTCTTTCTGTGCTTTCTGTCATATAAGTACTGCACTTTAAGCAATTGCACTACTGGAGCTCCTCTGTTCTCTTTCTGAATGATTTTATCCAATCCCATGGCTTTAATGCCATCTTGATACCAGCATTATCAACATTTATATCTCCAGCCCTGATCTCTTCCTGGAACTTCAGACTGTTATAATTCACCTGCCTTCTTAATATTCCAACCAGGAAATTCATAGACAGCACAATGTATCGCCTTGGTTCCTCCCTTCCCAAACCTGTTCTCCCACAGTAGGCCTTACTTGTCTTGTAGGTAGCACCACCTCCTATTTAACCACACTAGTAGGAAATTTCATTATATCTGGATTCATTTTTTCTCCCCACTCTCTACATCCAATTCATCACAAGTCTTGTTCATTCTGTATCCAAAGCCATTTCAAACTTGTCCACCTCCATTACCACCCCACCTCCTTACCCTCTCCATTACCACCCCATCTCCTTGCCCTATCCAACCCATTCTCTACCCAGAAAATAGGTCTATCTTAAAAAATAAAAATCAGATCACTCACAGTCTATGCAACATCCTTCATTGGATTCCCACTACACTTAGAACTAAATATAAACTTAGGCCTGGCACAGTGGCTTACACCTGTAATCCCAGCACTCTGGGAGGCCAAGGCAGGCCAATCACCTGAGGTCAGGAGTTGGAGACCAGCCTGGCCAACATGGCGAAACCTGTCTCTACTAAAAATACAAAAATTAGCCAGGCATAGTGGCAGGCACCTGTAATCCCAGCTACTTGGGAGGCTGAGGCAGGAGAATCACTTGAACCCAGGAGGCAGAGGTTGGGGTGAGTTGAGATCGCGCCACTGCACTCCAGCCTGGATGACAGAGCAAGACTCCATCTCAAAATAAATAAATAAATAAAAATAAACTTGTAGTGTCCTCTAAACTGCTACAGGACCTGGCTTCTACCCATCCTCCCAAGTGCAAGCTCATTTCATGCCACTCTGTCTTTGGCACACAATGCCAGTCCTGTCCAGCCTAGAGGTCTTTGCTATACTGTTCCTTCATCCTAGAAGCTCTTCCCCTACTCTTCCCATGCTAGCTTTGTCTCTTCCTCTGGGCCTTAGCTTAATTATTGTCCACTAAAGCAGACTTTCTGACCATCCTATCTGAAGTAAGCTTCTTTGTTTCCTTTATTCTCTTTTTAGCTCCTTCTTCCCCTCAGTCCTCACAGTTATTCCCACAGTCATAATGCCAACCCAATTTTTCCACAAATGAGGAAACAGAAAGACTTTTTAGGAACTTGTTAGATTTTAGACAAATCAAACACCACATAAACAACAAACTGCTTCTCTCCTAACTGGGCATCCTGCTGGATATGACCAGTCATACCCAATTCCACCCATATCTAAAAATTGAAAGGCTAACTGAGCATGGGGGTACACACCTATAGTCCCAGCTACTTGGGAGGCTGAGGTGGGAGGATCACTTGAACCTGGGAAGTTGAGGCTGCAGTGAGCCAAGATTGTGCCACTGCACTCCAGCCTGTGTGACAGAGTGAGACTCTGTCTCAAAAAAACCCAACTAGTTTTTAAAAAGTAAATACTGATAAGGTGAATCGGCATCTCAAACCCAAAATGAGGATACTCTTGAGACCCCCTTCAGTGGAAAGTGTGTAATGACCCAGATCCTGTTTTGCTGCAATCTTGGCCCTACATGACACAGCGGCATTCAACCGAACACGTAAAGACGAGAATAACTTTCTCACGAGTCTCATTTCCTGTGTTTTATATTAGAGCTCATTGTTGTTCTCTTTTTATTCCTCCTCTAAGACCAAAGTCCCATGAGATGGACCTTGGTAGAGTGAAAAAGGGTTTGAACTCAACTCAAATGCTATATGAGTGCATGCATGAAACTCCAGAATGGGCTCCAGCACTTTCAAATTTTTTTTCATTGACACTATCCACATGTAGAAAACATACCCTGTAAAGTACAACTTCTCCCTTTTGTTTCTAAGGTGAAAACTTAGGTCATATGCACGGAGCTGACAACAGATCACCCAATAATTATGTGATTGAAGTTGTCACTTATTTGGGTAAAACCTACTCAGGAATTTGAATTCTCTTCTAACAACTTGAACAGCTTCTCTTCTGTTTTGTTAATAAATCACTAAGTATGGCATACAAATCACCAGCAAGTTTTCGGAGAATTAAACTTACTGAAGCTCCTGCTTTCCAGCATTTTTATTTTATTTTATTTTATTTTTTGAGACGAAGTCTCGCTCTGTCGCGCAGGCTGGAGTTCAGTGGCACAATCTCGGCTCACTGCAACCTCTGCCTCCCAGGTTCAAGCAAGTCTCCTGACTCAGCCTCCCTAGTAGCTGGGATTACAGGCACGTGCCACTATGCCCAGCTAATTTTTTTTTTTTTTTTTTTGAAACGGAGTTTCGCTCTTGTTGCCCAGGCTGGAGTGCAATGGCATGATCTCAGCTCACTGCAACCTCCACTTCTTGGGTTCAAGCGATTCTCCTGCTTAGCCTCCCGAGTAGCTGGGAGGCTGAGGCAGGAGAATCGCTTGAGCCCGGGATGAGGAGGTTGCAGTGAGCCGACATGGCGCCACTGCACTCCAGCCCCAGCCTGGGCAACAAGAGTGAAACTCCATCTCAAAAAAAAAAAAAAAGAAAAAGAAAAAGAAAGTGAGTCACTTGATACCACAAAGAATATAGGCTCCTTTGTGAGCTAAAATTTCTAGATCTATAACTCAACAAAGGTGATTTATGACTTTTATAAATGTTGGAGGCCGGGCACAGTGCCTGACACTTGTAATCCAGCAAGTTGGGAAGGCAAGGTGGGCAGATTGCTTGAGCCCAGAAGTTTGAGATCAGCCTGGGCAACATGATGAAACCCCATCTCTACAAAAATAGAAAAATTAGCCAGGTGTGGTGGCATGCACCTGTAGTCCCAGCTACTCAAGACGCAGAGGTGGGGGGATCACCTAAGCCCAGGAAGTCGAGCGAACCGTGATTATGCAACTGCACTCCAGACTGGGTGACAGACTGAGACCCTGTCTCAAAAAAATAATAAAGTTAAATTAAAAATTAAGTGCAGCTGGGTGCGACGGCACACACCTGTAATCCCAGCATGTCCAGAGGCTGATGTGGGTGGATCACAAGGTCAGGAGTTCAAGACCAGCCTGGCCAAGATGGTGAAACCCCATCTCTACTAAAAATACAAAAATTAGCTGGGCATGGTGGTGGGCACCTGTAGTCCCAGCCACTCGGGAGGCTGAGGCACGAGAATGGCGTGAACCCGGGAGGTGGAGCTTGTAGTGAGCAGAGATCATGCCACTGCACTCCAGCCTGGGCGACAGAGCGAGACTCCATCTCAAAAAAAAAGAAAAGTGAGTCACTAGATACCATAAAGGGCAAAATTCCCAGGCTCATCTGTCCCTGAGGAAACGTTGAGGAGGAAATGTGGTTAGTTGTTTGTTTATATTTGTTTCTATAAGGAAGAAAGCTTGAGGTAGAGCTGAAATGCTTTTGCATTTTCTCATGCCACTTTAATACAGTCTCTATTCAGGACTCAGTGAAAACTTTTAAAAGAATATCAAGAGAAATATTTTTGTTGCTGTCGTTGTTTTAACCATAAGAATCATGACTGGGCTAAGAGATTTCCCTAAACTGTCCAAGCATGCTGTAGCTGCTAAGGCCATTTTCTTGGCTGCTTCTATTTTTCTTTTTTTTATGACCTATATTGCCTCCAGATTGGCTGCTTCTAAAGGGGTTGTTCGTACTGGGCTCTGAACTGAGTTACCCAGTTTAACTTCTATGTAGAAAATTACACCAGCTCTGGCCAGGTGCAGTGGCTCATGCTGTAATCCCAGCACTTTGGGAGACCAAGGCGGGTGGATCACCTGAGGTCAAGAGTTTGAGACCATCCTGGCCAACATGGTGAAACCCCGTCTCTACTAAAAATACAAAAAATTAGCCGGGTGTGGTGGCGGGTGCCTGTAGTCCCAGCTACTTGGGAGGCTGAGGCAGGAGAATTGCTTGAACCCGGCCGGGATGAGGAGATTTCAGTGTGCCGACATGGCGCCACTGCACTCCAGCCTGGGCAACAAGAGCGAAACTCCATCTCAAAAAAAAAAAAAGAAAAAAAACGACATCAGCTCTATCTCGAATTCAGTGTCTGGTGAAATTCTGAAAGAACTTAAGAAATGCTATGAGACAGGAGACACAAGACGCAACTCTGTCTTCATTGCTCAACAAATGCTAACAGGGTGTGTGCTTCTGTTCTCAATGAGTCAGACAGATTGGCCAGCTCTGAGCTCTGTTTAATTTGGTCCCACAGGCATGGGCCTCCTTCAAACACTGTCACTTCCAGAAAGTAAAGCAAGACACAAAACAAAACAAAATATCTCAGAGCTGGAAGAGACCTGAGGGATCACCTCCTCCAACATTCTCACTTAAAAAAGAAAAAAATCTAGGCTGGATGCAGTGGCTCATGTCTGTAATCCCAGCACTTTGGGAGGCCGAGGTGGGCAGATGACTTGAGGCCAGGAGTTTGAGGCCAGCCTGGCCAACATGGTGAAAGCCCATCTCAACCAAAAATATAAAAAGTAGCCGGGTGTGGTGGCGTGCGCCTGTAATTCCAGGTACTCGGGAGGCTGAGGCACGATAACTGCTTGAACCCAGGAGGCAGAAGTTGCAGCGAGCTGAGATGGCACCTCTGCACTCCAACCTGGGCAACAAAGTAAGTTCTTGTCTAAAAACAAAAACAAACAAAAACCTATCACTTCTATTATTACTATTATTATTATTATTATTATTATTATTATTATTATTTTCTTTGAGATGGAGTCTTGTTCTGTCACCCAAGCTGGAGTGCAGTGGTGCTATCTCAGCTCACTGTAACCTCCACCTCCCGGGTTCGAGCAATTTTCCTACCTCAGCCTCCCAAGCAGCTGGGACTACAGGCACGCACCACCACGCCCAGCTAATTTTTGTATTTTTAGTAGAGACAGGGTTTCACCATATTGGCCAGGCTGGTCTGGAACTCCTGACCTTGTGATCCACCCACCTCAACCTCCCAAAATGCTGGGATTACAGGCATGAGCCACTGTACCCAGCCAAAAACCTATGACTTCTAATTCAACTTTTTTGTTGTTGTTGTTTTCGAGACAGGGTCTCGCTCTGTTGCCCAGGCTGGAATGCAGTGGTGCCATCTAGGTTCACTGAAGCCTTGACAGCCCGGGTTCAAGTGATTCTCCTGCCTCAGCCTCCCAAGTAGCTGGGATTATAGGCCTGCACCACCACATCTGGCTATTTTTTTTATTTTTTGCAGAGACAGGATTTCACCATGTTTCTCAGGCTGGTCTTGAACAGGCCTGGGACACTGTACCTGGCCTGAAATTTTTGTTTTAAAAAATCATTGACCAATTTTTTTGTTTTGGAGTTTTGATAAAACAGAGTAGAATTTTCCTACGTTCTTTTTTTTTTTTTTTTTTGAGACAAAGTTTCACTGTTGTTGCTCAGGCTGGAGCACAATGGTGTGATCTTGGCTCATTGCAACCTCCGCCTCCCGGGTTCAAGCGAGTCTCCTGCCTCAGCTTCCTGAGTAGCTGGGATTACAGGTGCCCGCCACCACGCCCAGCTAATTTTTGTATATTTAGTAGAGACGGGGTTTCACCATGTTGACCAGGCTGGTCTTGAACTTCTGGCCTCAGGTGATCCACCCTTCTCGGACTCCCAGTGTGCTGGGATTACAGGCATGAGCCACCGCACCCGGCTCCTACATTCTTAATGAATGACTGTATTAGAAAATGAGGCCGTGGTGGCTCACGCGTGGGCCTGTAATCCCAGCACTTTGGGACGCCGAGGCAGGTGGATCACGAGGTCAGGAGTTCAGACCAGCCTGACCAACATGGTAAAAACCCATCTCTACTAAAAATACAAAAATTAGCCTGACATGGTGGCTTGTGCCTATAATCCCAGCTACTTGGGAGGCTGAGACAGGAGAATCGCTTGAATCTGGGAGGCGGAGGTTGCAGTGAGCTGAGATCACGCCACTGCACTCCAGCCTGGGTGACAGAGCGAGACTCTGTCTCAAAAAGAAAAGAAAAGAAAAGGAACAACAACTGTATATTTTAGGGAGAAAAACTGAAAGAAAGAAATTAGGCCAGGCATGGAGGCTCACGTCTGTAATCCTGACACTTTGGGAGACTAAGGCAGGAAGATTGCTTAAGTCCAGGGGTTGGAGACCAGCCTGCGCAACATAGTGAGACCTTGTCTCTGCAAGAAAAAAATAAGATAAAATTAGCCTGGCATGGTGGCTACTTAGGAGGCAGAGGTGTGAGGATTGCTTGAGCCTGGGAGGTTGAGGTTGCAGTGAACTGAGAACACGCCACTGCACACTAGCCTGGGTGACAGAGCGAGACCCTGTCTCAAAAAAAAAAAAAAAAAAGAAAAGAAAAAGAAATAAAAAGAAAGAGAGAAAAGAAAAAAGGAATAAAGAAATTAGTTTTTCCACTCTGAAGTATATTTGACTCACACCACAACCCAGGAAGAAACCCAAGGGTGCTTTTGTAGCAACTGTTTATCAATAGAAAAACATTTAGTAAAACTCAACTCTTACTGCTGTGACATGTATGTAGATTCTACTTCCTTATTCTCTTGAAAAGGTGACACTGTCAAATCTCTTTATTTTTCTTTCACTCAGCTGATTAGTTCTCACCAGACATTTACGTTGGTCTGTGCGACCTCCCCTTTCTGTGCTCATCCTCCACCTTAGAGGTCTACACCACATCCCTTCCAATTATCTTTTCTCCTCCATCCAAGCCTGTTCTTGAATAAGTTCACTTTAGCATAAATACCTAATGATTAGACCTTTCTTTTTGCCTTATGATTATTGTTATTATTATTGAGATGGAGTCTCCCTCTGTCACCCAGGCTGGAGTTCAGTGGTGCAATCTCAGCTCACTGCAACCTCTGCCTCCTGGGTTCAAGTGATTCTCGTGCTTCAGCCTCCAAGTAGCTGGGATTACAGGTGCACACCACCATGCCCGGCTAATTTTTGTATTTTTAGTGGAGATGGGGTTTCACCATGTCGGCCAGGCTGGTTTTGAACCCCGTCTCGGCCTCCCAAAGTGCTGGGACTACAGGCCTGAGCCATCACAACTGGTTTTGCTTTAATATTATTATTATTGTTGTTATTATTATTTTTGAGACGGAGTCTCACTCTGTTGCCCAGGAGGGAGTGCAGTGGCACGATCTTGGCTCACTGCAACCTCCACCACCCGGGTTCAAGCAGTTCTCCTGCCTCAGCCTCCCAAGTAGCTGGGATTACAGGCGCCCACCACCATGCCTAGTTAATTTTTGTATATTTAGTAGAGATGGGGTTTCACCATGTTGGCCAGGCTGGTCTCAAACTCCTGACCTCAAGTGATCCACCCACCTCGGCCTCCCAAAGTGTTGGGATTACAGGCATGAGTCACCACACCTGGCTGGTATGTGTATTTTAGCCGGAGGAAAGACATTAGGATACAAAAATGAATCTCTAATGGTGAAATTTGCAACCCTTTCATGGTAAAGAAGATAAATCTGAGGCACCAAGAGGCTGAAGTGACACTACTGGCTGCTGGCGTCTTGAGCTGGAGCCCCTTCTTTCTCGTCCCACACCACGCTTCTCTCTTGCCACCTTGACATCCTGCCATGCAGCAACCCCTACCAAAAAATGCACTTGGATGTTATGGACCTGGGTATGCGAAAGCAAACTAAATCTCGTGACGCCAAAGTAACTAAGCCAAAGGGAAAAGTCAACCTGGGAACTGCGTCAGGCAAACCTGCCTCCCATTTTATTCCTAAATAAGATAGCTACAAAGATTTAAAAAAAAAAAAAAAAAAAGCTACATACCTCCCTTGCAGTTTGCCCACAAAGAAATTCCCTGTGAGCCTCAAGATCTTTACTCTAAAATAGTTCTGTTGGATTTCACCCTGGCAATGTAAATTGAAAGCTATCTTCACAGGTGTGGGACAAAGGCCAGAAATCAAAGTCATCCCTCTGCTCACCTGAGACAAATGTGTATCTAATTGCCCTACTGTTTATGGAAAAATGCAGATTCACTGAGCCAGGCTAAGGCATAAGTGACTATTCCTCTACCCTGCTCTCACATGTAAATTGTGTATTCAGCGAAAGGCTGATCAGGGACTCAAAATAATGCAACCGTTTGCATCTTATCTACCTAAGACCTGGAAACCCCTGCTTTGAGTGGTTCTACCTTTCCAGACCGAACAAATGTACATCTTAAATGTATTGATTGTTATCTCATGTCTCCCTAAAATATATAAAGCCAAGCTGTACCCTGACCACCTTGGGCATATGTCATTAGGACCTCCTGAGGCTGTGTTACTGGCAGGTCCTTAACCTTTGCAAAATAAACTTTCCAATTTTTTTTTTTTTTTTGAGACAGAGACTCACTTTGTCACCCAGGCTGGAGTGTAGTGGCACAATCCCAGTTCACTGTAACCTCTACCTCCCAGGTTCAAGCAATTCTCCTGCCTCAGCCTCCCAAGAACCTGGGACTACAGGCATGCGCCACCATGCCCAGCTAACTTTTGTATTTTTAGTAGAGACGGAGTTTCACCATGTTGGCCAGTTTGGTCTCAAACCCCTGACCTCGGGTGATCCCTCTGTCTCAGCCTCCCAAAGTGCTGGGATTACAGGCGAGAGCCACTGAGTCTGGCCCAATTATGCTTATAACTCAATAGTCAGTTTTCTGGATTCCTGAAGCGCAGCACTTTAAATTATATGTAGGGCACTGAAGGATTGTTTGACATCCACACCCTGGATCCCACCAGTTCCCTAGGCCTGAGAGGCCTGTCTCTCACTTCTTTGCCTTGGACTGCCACACCATTTTTCAGCCTGTCCCCCATGTCCCATCCCCCCAAATCTCCATGATTCACAAGGTATGTGAGTGTATCAGATTTCATTAAATGGTTGTGGTAATCTCAAACTACGTACGAAATATATGAGTAAAGCATATAAGAATTAGGCTATGTAAGAAGTTTCCTCTTGTTAAAGGGAAAATCTGGCTGGGCATGTTGGCTCACACCTATAATCCCAACAATTTGAGAGGCCAAGGTGGGCGGATCACTTGAGGTCAGGAGTTTGAGACCAGCCTGGCCAACATGGTGAAACCCCATCTCTACTAAAAATACAAAACTTAGCTGGGCATCGTGGTGCATGCCTGTAATTCCAGCTACTCAGGAGGCTGAGCCTGGAGAATTGCTTGACCCTGGGAGTGGAGGTTGCAGTGAGCCGAGATGGCACCACTGCACTCCAGCTTGAGTGACAGATGGAGACTTTGTCTCAAAAAAAAAAAAAAAAAAAAAGGAAAATCTGAAAAGTTCAAATCTTCACTGGGTTTTCTTGTTGGCACACTTCAGTTTCTAAATCTTCCCCCACCAACTCACTTCCTACTTCCTGTCGAACATCCTCTTTGACTGCCATGCATAGCTCTATAGCCCATTCAAAACCCCAGCCCCTGCCCACAGGACTTAGTTTTGGGTCCTTGTCTATGTCCCTCCCTGAGCAGAAGACATGGTCCTGAAACTGATTTACTAGGTCTGGAGTAATGCCTTGGGGCAAGGGGGTCAGGACAGTTCTCGAAGTCTTGGCATTCCTAATCTCATCAAAGAGTCCAGTGTGGATGTGGATGCCCTAACTCCAAATCTTCCTACCAGTGTAGTTGCAGATACAACTCTTAATTTCTTTTTTTGAGACAGAGTCTAGCTTTGTTGCCCAGGCTGGAGTGCAGTGGCACAATCTCGGCTCACTGCAACCTCTGCCTCCCCAGTTCAAGCAATTCTCCTGCCTCAGCCTCCCCTAGTAACTGGGATTACAGGCTTGTGCCACCATGCCTGGCTAATTTTTTATATTTTTGGTAGAGACAGGGCTTCGCCATGTTGGCCAGGCTGGTCTCGAACTCCTGACCTCAGGTGATCCACTTGCCTCAGCCTCCCAAAGTGCTGGGATTACAGGTGTGAGCCACTGTGCTCAGGCACGACTCTTAATTTCTTAGTTGCCCACCAGGGAACCGAAGGATCATATACACACAAACACACACACATAGTCTCCTAAAGACAAACATAAATTCTCAGTGCGGTCTAAGTGCAAATGGAGGAAGTAAAATGTTTTCCAAACACCCCCTATAATTTGCACAGTTTCTGTTCCCCTATGAATATACAATTTCACATTTCTTTTTTTTTTTGAGACGGTGTCTCGCTCTGTCACGAGGCTGGAGTGCAGTGGCGTGATCCTGGCTCACTGCAAGCTCTGCCTCCTGGGTTCACGCCATTCTCCTGCCTCAGCCTCCCAAGTAGCTGGGACTACAGGTGCCCGCCACCACGCCTGGCTAATTTTTTTTGTATTTTTTAGTAGAGATGGGGTTTCACCGTGTTAGCCAGGATGGTCTCAATCTCCTGACCTCGTGATCTGCCCGCCTCAGCCTCCCAAAGTGCTGGGATTACAGGCGTGAGCCACTGTGCCTGGCCTTCACATTTCTGTATAAGGCAATATTAATTCCTTTTCTTAATTTGCCTTCCCCTTTCCCCTTTCCAGTTGTGTCTTCTCAAGCCTGTTTGGAATATGAAAGAGGTCTGTGACTGAGCTGCTGTGCCTCTCAACAACTGCTGTCAGCTACACAAAGACCCAGCTAAAGCTCCAAAATGAATATTGTGTGTGTGTGTGTGTGTGTGTGTGTAGTTATTACTTCGGGCTATTTGTCCTACATATATTCTATTTCCTGCTTTTTAACAAAAGTCTTGTGACCCAAAGCTGATTCAAGGTATCCATTATTCAGAGTAAATAGAGAGTCATAGTCATCAAATTCCACATGAGATCCTCTGAACTCTTGTGAGTGCAGAGGGAGAGGCTCCCTAAGAACTACAATAGAGATAATAATAGTGCTTACCTCATGGGGTTGTTGGGAGGTTTCAGTGACTCATATATAACGCAAGTGTACACACAGAATCTGTAAGTAAAATGCTAAGCATGGTACCTGGTAAGTGCTTTATACGTTTTTAAAAATTATTATTATGTATATCATAGCTACAGTTTCTACACAGGATTTCAAATTTTTTTTTTTTTTTGAGACAGAATCTCACTCTATTGCCCGGCTGGAGTGCAGTGGTGCGATCTTGGCTCACGGCAACCTCTGCCTTCTGGGTTCACGTGATTCTCCTGCCTCAGCCTCCTGAGTAGCTGGGACTACAGGTGCACACCACCATGCCTGGCTAATTTTTGTATTTTTAGTAGAGACGGGGTTTCAGCATGCTGCCAGGATGGTCTTGATCTCTTGACCTTGTGATCCACCCACCTCAGCCTCCCAAAGTGCTGGGATTACAGGCATGAGCCACTGCGCCTGGCCAGGATTTCAATTTTTTAAAATGGCACTGCTCACTTCGGGAGGCCGAGGCAGGAGGATTGCTTGAGGCTAGGAGTTTGAGATCAGACTGGGCAACATAGCAAGATGCTGTCTCTACAAGAATTTTAAAAATTAGCCAGGCATGGGCATGGGGGCACGTGCCAGGAGTCCCAGCTACTCAGGAGGCGAGGTGGGAGAATTACTTGAGGCTAGGAGTCTGAGGCTGCAGTGAGACATAATTGCATCACCGCACTCCAGCCTGGGTGACAGAGCAAGACCCGTCTCAAAATAATAATAATAGTAATAAATAATAAAAGGTCATTGCTTTAAAATTGTTTGAAAACCTCAGCTCTGGATCAAACTTCAAAGTACAGGCTGAAGGAAAGTATCAATTGTCAAAGAAAGACCTTTGTACCTTCAAGGAACCCATGCTTAAAGAAAACACACTCTCTTTCATCATGTAAATCAGCCATGGGTTTTGAAAACCATAAGAATCAGGAACAGGCCAGGTGCAGTGGCTCATGCCTGTAATCCCAACACTTTGGGAGGCTGAGGCCAGAGGTTTGCTTGAGCCCAGGAGTTCAAGACCAGCCTGGGCAAAATAGTGAAACCTCATTTCTACAAAAAATTAGCCAGGCTTAGTGGCACACACCTATAGTCCTAGCTACTCATTCAGGAGGCTGAGGCAGGAGGATCACTTGAGCCTGGGAGGTTGAGGCTGCAGTGAGCTATGATCTCGCCACTGCACTCCAGCCCGGACAACACTCTGCACTTCATTCTGGACAACAGAGCAAGACCCTGTCTTAAAAAAAAAAAAATCAGTAACATTTGTGGAGCACTTTCTATGTGCTGAATGCATTGATGGTTTATTCTCTAAAACATCCCCATAAGGTAGGCTGCAGTATCATTAATGCCATTTTACAGATGGGGAACTTGAAGTCAACTAGCCTAAGAGTAAACATATTGGCTCACAAATTGGGAAATCCAGGGGAAGGCTGTCTTCCGATGTGGCTGGGCAGGTGTAGTGTGAGCCAGTAGGTCAAATCTTGTGATTATTTCTCGCCTTCTCCTTCCCAGGTCAGCTGTGATCTCAGCAAGCGTCTTTCCTCATCAAAGGCTCCATGCACGTTCCTCATTCACATCCAATGATGTAGAAACTTCTCTTCTGGTGGATCTTTTGGAAAATTAGGAAAGCTACTTTTTTGTTTGTTTGTTTTTTGAAACAGTCTCGCTCTGTCCCCCAGGCTGGAGTGCAGTGGCGCGATCTCGGCTCACCGCAAGCTCCGCCTCCCGGGTTCACGCCATTCTCCTGCCTCAGCCTCCTGAGTAGCTGGGACTACAGGCGCCCGCCACTACTCCCGGCTAATTTTTTTGTATTTTTAGTAGAGACGGGGTTTCACCGTGTTAGCCAGGATGGTCTCGATCTCCTGAGCTCGTGATCCGCCCACCTTGACCTCCCAAAGTGCTGGGATTACAGGCGTGAGCCACCGCGCCCTACCGGAAAGCTACTTTTTTGAAAGGCTTCAGCCGGCTTCTCATTGTCTCACTGCCCTGATTCAGAAATAACTGTGGCCCAGGGAAGGAGGAGAGGCTGGCTTTTCCTAATGCCTTAAACCTGAGGCTGAGTATGGAATAAATCACTCCAAAATTGCACTCCATAAATAGGGGAGGAACTTCCTTTGGGAAGTTCAGAGTTGTTGCAGATTTGTATCCCAGGAGCTGATTCTGAGAAGAGCATTCATGTGCAGGTTTATTAGGGGGTGTCCTTAAGACCTGCACCTGTGGAAGGGAAGGCCAGATAGCAAGAGAGGGCACAGGGAGAAGCTGGGCTGCGAGGCAGAGTAAGGGCTGCAGCCAGCCAGGTGACCCTTCAGACGTGCCTGCATTGGAGCAAGGTGGGCGGGAGTGAGGGGGCCAGGCCTTTCTCCCATCCCCTCCACAAACCAGGTATGGTCTGTGGGATGCCCAGGAAGGAAGCAAAGCCTGGAGTGGGGTGGGTGGCCCCTTTTTTAGAAGAGGGTAGTTCCTGGAGAGGCAATCAGCCATCAGCTTACAACACTTCCAGCAGCTGAGAGAAGAAATCCTTCCAGCCCGAGGAGGAATCTGGGCAGCACATCCCAGGAATCTGGAAGCAGTCATGGAAAAGGAAACAAGTCACTGAGAGGCCAATCCTGGATCTCAACTCAGTCCTTTCAGAGGCCACTGCTACAGCCCCCACCTCATCGCTTCCTGTTCAATGTATGCTGATTTCTACACACTGACCGCTGTAGGCATTTCTGGAAAGAATCCCAGATCAGAGTTTTTAAGTATCAGCTGCCTATCCACGTGTGTCTTGTGAGCAACTAAGAGGGCTGAAGGCAAGGAGGAAACCGGTGGTGATACACCTCATTGGGTGGTTAAAGAGACAAGATGTCTGGCCAGACTCTCACCAGAGAACTGTCCAGTCTGAACAAATGAGGAACGTGAAGAACTTGGAAAGGTTACAAGGAAGTCACCGCGATGATGAATGTTTTCCTGAACCAGCACGGACAGGAAAGAGCAAAGGCTGCAAATCAGGGCTGACCTTGGTGATCTCCGTCTTTTACATTGGGATGCAGAATTCAGCATGCAACCACATGCAATTTACAAGCACAGGCTCCTTCTGGGAAATGTGCCAAATTAGTTCATTCCTGACAAAATAATTAAAATCCTACAAATATTAGGCTCATGCATTTAGCCATTTTATTTCAGCTGTTTTGTGTGTTCATAGATAGTGAAATTAAAAACACTTGTGGCCTGGCATGGTGGGTCACACCTGTAAACCCAGCACTTTGGGAGGCTGAGGCAGGAGGTCTGCTTGAGCTCAGGAGTTTGAGACCAGCCTAGGCAACATAGTGAGATCTTGTCTCTGCAAATATTATTTAAGCTCACAACTATAATCCTAGCCCTTTGGGAAGCCAAGGCAGGTGGATCACTTGAGGCCAGGAGTTCGAGACCAGCCCAGCCAATGTGGTGAAATCCCATCTCTACTAAAGATACAAAAAAATTACAGGTGCACACCTGTAGTCCCAGCTACTCGGGAGGCTGAGGCACAAGAATCATTTGAACCTGGGAGGTGGAGGTTGCAGTGAGCAGAGATGTGCCACTGCACTCCAGCCTGGGCAACAAAGCAAGATTCTGTCTCAAAAAAAAATTATTAAAAAAATTATCCAGGGGTGGTGGCGCACACCTGTGGTCCCAGTTACTTGGGAGGCTGAGGTGGGAGGATCACTTAAGCCCAGGAGGTGGAGGCTGCAGTGAGCTATGTTCATGCTACTGCACTCCAGCCTGGGAGACAAAGCAAGACCCTGTCTCAAAAATGTAAAATTAAATATTTTAAAACAGGACAACATTACAAAATACAAATAAAAACACGTGTATTGGGGTCAAGCACAGGGACTCATGCCTGTAATCTCAACACTTTGGGCATATAAAGTGGGAGCATCACTTGAGCAGAGGAGTTTTGGGCCGGCCTGGGCACTGTAGTGAGATCCTGTCTCTACACAAAATAAACATTAAAAATTAGGAGGCTGGGGCGGGAGGATTGTTTGGACCCGGGAGTTCAAGACCAGCCTAGGCTACATAGAGAAACTCCATCTGTATTGTTAAAGAAAAAAAAATTAAAAATTAAAAAAAAAAAACATGTATTGGAAGAAAATACTCTGGCAGCTTCAAAACACCTGACAAGAGGGGGAAACCCTGATACAGCTTCAGAACTTCAGCCCATGGAAGCTGCATTCAACAAACTACTGAATCATGTCTGGTTCCCATGGCAACAGCCCTGAAGCGGCTTCACTGAACAAGACTGAATGTGATCAACTGCCAACATGGAAATATCAACCCTTCCTCTTTGTTTTTCAGCATTTCTCTCACTGACATTCTGTGTTGCAAAGCAGGCCTTGGAACGCTGCCCGTATCTCCCTCCTAGATTCACCAAATTTCAGCGGTGAAGCCCCCCTCCACTGCATTTTTAGTGTAGAACCTTGCCAGGGTTGGGGGTGGGGGAGGTGGGGGCCACTGCATACATTCTAAAGGACAAGGAAAATAATTTCAGATAGTTCCTTACCCACCCATGTCCCTCACTAAGAGCCCTGGTTTTTCTCTCAGGCAGTAACGCTTCTTTCTGTTGGACTCAAATCAGCATATTTATGTTCCATAGCAAGACAGATTTCCTAAGTAAGAGAGAAGCTATTTTTAGAGGATCTTGAAAGGGGGGAAGATCTCAGAAACGACCTAAACTTAGATCCAGCTTTTGGTACAGTGTGCCTCACAGGGACATAGACTGCACGTGCACAAACATTTCTTGCAGCCTGTTATAAACTTCCTGAGATGCCCTCAAAGCCTGCGCTGGGGTGGGGCCCAGAGCTTCCCCCTGGAGGTGCCATAGATCCTTGCCCTTCTTTCCCTTTAAGAACAGCACACTGTCAGTTCTCCAGCTCTTGAAGAGCCCTACAATGAGGTCAGACCATATCAGTGGTACATCTGGGCTGTCTGTCAGTGCATTTGGGTGAGTTCGCTTCGAGGGAAAGAATGTCAGCCGTAGTGAGTTTGTGGTTAGAGAGTCACTTGTAGATATGAGTGTGGACCCCACGCTGGAGTGCAGTGGCACCATCTCAGCTCACTGATGGAATATTTGATGATTTCTATCACCAAATGAAGCCAGGGGATGGGTGTGTGGGAGGTTATGATACTATTCTCACTACCATGGTGGATAGTGAGCATAAAAATTACACGTGGCCAGGTGCGGTGGCTCACACCTGTAATCCCAGCACTTTGGGAGGCCGAGGCAGGCGGATCACCTGAGGTTGGGAGTTTAAGACCAGCCTGACCAACATGGAGAAACCCCGTCTCTACTAAAAATATAAAATTAGCCCGGCATGGTGGCGCATGCCTGTTATCCCAGCTACTTGGGAGGCTGAGGCAGGAGAATCGCTTGAACCTGGGAGGCGGAGCTTGCAGTGAGCTGAGATGGTGCCACTGCACTCCAGCATGGGTGGCAGAGTGAGACTCTGTCTGAAAAAAAAAAGAAAAAAAAAAAAAAGAAAGTACACATAACCAGCCCTGGTGGAAGGTTATAAGGTTATGTGTTCCTGGAGGAAGCATTCTTTCAATTGAGACCTCAAGGATAAGATCAGCTAGCAGGCCCAAACTGAGGGTGGAGGGATGAAGTGTGAGGTATTGGTTGGATAAGTGTTCCAGGCAGAGAAAACAATGTAGGCACATGCCTGAAGGTGAAAGCAAGCTCCTTGGGACTGGAAGAAGCTCAGTAGGATTGCATTAGAGCCTGGCAATAGATGAGGCAGAGCACTGGAATGGACGGTCAGGAGACAGTGGTAAAAAGTCTGGGCATTTCTCTGAAGAGCAATGGGAAGCCAATGAACAAGGCATTTACTTGACTGTATTCATGCTTTAGGAAAATTACAATTAAGCTTTATTGTCCCAAGATAGTCCTAACTTTAGGAAGTCTTCCTTGGGCAGGGAGTGGCGGCTCACGCCTATAATCCTAGCACTTTGGGAGGTGGAGATGGGTGGATCACTTGAGGCCAGGAGTTCAAGACCAGCCTGGCCAATATGGTGAAACCCCATCTCTAAAATACAAAAATTAGCCCGGCGTGGTGGTGCGTGCCTGTAATCCAGCAACTCAGGAAGCTGACACATGAGAATTGCTTAAGTCCAGAGGCAGAGGTTGCAGTGAGCCGAGATTGTGCCACTGCACTCTAGCCTGGGCAACAGAGCAAGACTCCATCTCAAAAAAAAAAAAAAAAGTCTTCTTTGAAGATTTCTCAAAGAACTACCATTCGACCCGGCAATCCCCCTACTGCATACATACCCAAAGGGAAAGACATCATTATATACTAAAGATATTTGCACTCATGTTTATTGCAGCACTATTTATTCACAATAGCAAAGATGCAGAATCAACCTAAGTGTCTATCAATGGATGATTGAATAAAGAAAATGTAGTGTATACATACACGCACACACACACCATGAAATACGACTCAGCCATAAAAAAGAATAAAATCATATTATCTGCAGCAAAATGGATGGAATGGAAGGCTACTATCCTAAGGGAGATAACTCAGAAACAGAAAGTCAAATACTGCCTGTTCTTACTTATAAGTGGGAACTAAACAATGAGTACACATGGACATTCAGAATGAAATAGTAGACATTGGAGACTCTGAAAGGCGGGAGAGTGGGAGGGGAATGAGGTTTGAAAAATTACTTATTGTAGGCTGAGTGCAGTGGCTCACACCTGTAATTCCAGCACTTTGAGAGGCCAGGGTGGGAGGATTACTTGAGCCCAGGAGTTTTCAGACCAGCCTGGGCAACACAATGAGACCTCATCTCTACAAAAATAAAAGTAAAAATTAGCTGGGTGTGGTGGCACATGCCTGTATTCCTAGCGACTTGAGAGGCTAAGGCAGGAGAATTACTTGAGCCCAGGAGTTCCAGGTTGCAGTGAGCTATGATTGCACCACTGCACTTCAGCCTGGGAGACAGAGCGAGACTCTGTCTCTCTTTTTTTTTTTTTTTTTTTGAGATGGAGTCTCGCTCTGTCACCCAGGCTGGAGTGCAGTGGCATGATCTCAGCTCACTGCAAGCTCCGCCTCCTGGGTTCAAGCCATTCTCCTGCCTCAGCCTCTCAAGTAGCTGGGACTACAGGCGCCTGCCACCACGCCTGGCTAATTTTTTTAGTAGAGATGGGGTTTTACTGTGTTAGTCAGGATGGTCTCGATCTCCTGACCTCGGGATCTGCCTGCCTCGGCCTCCCAAAGTGCTGGGATTACAGGAGTGAGCAACCGTGCCCAGCCCTGTCTCTTAAAAAAAAAAAAAAATTACTGGCCAGGCGTGGAGGCTCACACCTGTAATGTAAAAAAAAAAAAATCTAGTGGGTACAATGTTCACTATTTGGGTGATGGGTACACTAAAAGCTCAGGTTTACCACAACGCAGTATGTGCATATAAGAAATCTGCACTTGTGCCTCCTAAATCCATACAAATAAAAAAAAATGGCCGTGTACAGTGGCTCATGCCTGTAATCCCAGCACTTTGGGAGGCTGAGTGTGGATCACAAGGTCAGGAGTTCGAGACCAGCCTGGCCAACATGGTGAAACCCCGTCTCTACTAAAAATACAAAAATTAGCTGGGCGTGGTGGCAGGCACATGTAATCCCAGATACTCGGGAGGCTGAGGCAGGAGAATTGCTTGAACCTAGGAGGCAGAGGTTGCAGTGAGCTGAAGTCACGCCACTGCACTCCAGCCTGGGGGACAGAGTGAGACTCTGTCTAAAAAAAAAAAAAAAAAAAATTAGCCTGGCATGGTCACGTGTGCGTGTGGTCCCAGCCACTCAGGAGGCTAAGGTGGGAGAATGGCTTGAGCCCAGGAGTTTGAGGCTACAGTGAGCTATGATCATGCCACTGGACTCCAGTCTGGGTGACAGAATGAGATTCTGCCTCTAAAGTAAGTAAATAAATAAATACATAATCAAGCCTCCTTTGAATATTCCAGCCCTCCTTGCTCTGAGCTGCAGATTCCACCCTCTCTTACTGTAGGTTGCTATTGTTTCATGCTAAGGTTAAGTGAGGCCAAAAGGGTGGAGGCGTAGGACTGGTAGCCTTATAGAAAGAGGAAAAGAGAGAGATTGCTGTCTCTCCACATGCGTGCACTGAGGAAAGGCCATGTGGGCACACAGCTAGAAGGCAGCCATCTGCCAGCCAGGAAGAGAGCCCTCACCACACCCTGACCTTGCTGTTATCCTGATCTTAGGTTTTCAGCCTCCAGAACTGTGAGAAAATACATTTCTGTTGCTTCAGCCACCCAGTCTGTGATATTTTACTATGACAGCCAAAGCAGACTAAGACACTCCTCTAAGTCCCTCTCTATCCAGATAATCGTCGGCTGGGACAAACTTTAGACACTTCAAAAGCTTGTAATCCATTGACCTTGACTGATCATTAAAAATCTTCAACATTATAGCCCCATTATAGTCAGTCACATTTCATATTTATATATGCAGGTGATTTTCTCCACTATCATGAGGCCAAGCTATGGTGTAAGGAGATGGTTCTCCTGCAGCAGTAAATATGTCTAATAGTTGGATATTAATGTAACCATTAATCTCCCTAGTTCACCCTGAAAAGACACACCTTGTGTTTTTTTCCTATCTGAAAACTTCCAGTCATTACATCCACATGCAATTGCTGACTCCCAAGGTTGAATGAGCGGCTCATGGTCTTTAGGGCATGTGTTTATAAGAAGATAGTCTGTGTTTACATTGCCACAATACAATGTTACCTTCTACTGGCTGCCTTTCATAGGCAAGGCAACTGTTCAAAACAAATTGCTTGGCATCCTGTAATCCCAGCTACTCCAGAGGCTGAGGCACGAGAATCACTTGCACCTGGGAGGTGGAGGTTGTAGTGAGCCGCGATTGTGCCACTGCGCTCCAGCCTGAGCAACAAGACTGAAGCTCTGTCTCAAAAAAACAAAAACAAAAACAAATTGCTTGGCAAATGATGGTTTTTGCAATTTTGGACATGATGCTTAAGTTGACTTTCAATTTCCAACATGACAGACTACTGAAGTATGTTTCTTTGCAAAGTCTCTAAGATCTACTAAGTGAGGCTTTTAAGAAAGCAGCCTAGGCTGGGCACGGTGGCTCACACCTATAATCCCAGTACTTTGGGAGGCCAGGGCAGGAGGATCGCTTGAGGCCAGGAGTTTGAGACCAGCCTGGGCAACATAATGAGACCTCGTCTCTCTCTCTCTCTCTCTCTCTCTCTCTCTTTTGTAAGTTAATAATTTTTTAAATAAAAAATATAATAAAAATGAAGGAGGAGGAGAATTGCTTGAACCCGGGAGGCAGAGGTTGCAGTAAGCCGAGATCATGCCGCTGCACTCCAGCCTGGGCAAAAAGAACAAAATTCATCTCAAGAATAAAAAATAAAAAAATAAAGCAGGCTGGGTATAGTGGCTCACACCTGTAATCCCAGGATTTTGGGAGGCTGAGGTGGGAGGATTACTTGAGTCCAGGAAGTTGAGGCCGCAGTGAGCTATGATTATGCTGTCTAATCATGATTACTCTAGCCTGGGTGACAGAGCAAGATCCTGTCTCAAAAACAAACCCCGAAAAACCAAAAACAAAGCAGAGTAAGAAGCATCAGCCTTTCTGGTAAGATCTGAGGGGATATAAGAACCCTCTCATTGTCAATGATTTCTCTCACTATTTCAGTACCTAAACAACCTTTACTTGTCCTTTCTTTTGGATATTACATCTTATATATAATAGCCCTTTATTAATATGATTTTATGCTCATATATATGAATCTGTATGAATTTTTTCTGTGAGAATCAAACTTAAGAACTGTCACTTTTTTCTTTGTTTTTTTTTTTTTTTGGAGACAAAGTCTCGCTCTATCACCCAAGCTGGAGTGCAGTGGTGGGATCTCAGCTAACTACAACCTCCGCCTACCAGGTTCAAGCAATTCTTCTGCCTCAGCCTCCCGGGTAGCTGGGATTTCAGGTGCCCGCCACCACACCTGGCTGATTTTTTAAAATATATTTTTAGTAGAGATGTGGTTTCACCATGTGGACCAGGCTGGTCTTGAACTCTTGACCTCGGGTAATTTGCCTGCCTCGGCCTCCCAAAGTGCTGGGATTACAAGCTTGAGCCACCGTGCCCGGGCCCTTTTCTTTTTGTTTTGAGATGGGGTCTTGCTCTGTTACCCAGGCTGGAGTGCGGTGGTGTGATGTGACCACGGCTCACTACAGCCTCAATTTCCCAGGTTCAAGTGATTCTCCCACCTCAGCCTCCTGAGTAGCTGAGATTACAGGTGTGCACCACCACACTGGACTAACTTTTTCATTTTTTTGTAGAGACAAGGTCTCACTATGTTGCCTAGGCTGGTCTTGAACTGCTGGGCTCAAGCAATCCTCCTGCCTCTGCCTCTCAAAGAGCTGAGATTATAGGTGTGAGCCGCCATGCCCGCCCGTCACTTTTCTGTATATTCCTAAATAAAATTAAATCTGGTTCAGCCTCTATTGACTTTAGTGGTAGATAAATTCAACCCCATTTTTCTGGTGAAGAGGTTCCTCTGCAATTCTTTAGGATTATGCCAGCACCCAGGGCTTACTCAGTCCAGATGTCTTGCCTTCTGATCCACTGGAAGATGTAGAGTTTTACTACCCAGCTCCAGTGTCTTCTCCCCTCAAGTTTAGGTGGAGCCTGTTTGTCAAGGCCTCTGTGTAATACCTAGGGCCCCAAACCATTTGCATACATGCAGCCATCCCATTCAGAGGCTCTATCTCTACAGAGCTGTAAACCCTTCCTACCAGTGTGCAGGGCAGCTAACACCCTCCATCCTCACTCCACCCCTTATCCTTGTGCAGTGTAGCTCTGCCCTTCCACAAAGAGCTTGACTGTCACCACGTCCTCTTATAATCCCACGCAGTCCCACCTTCTCTCATAATCCCAAAGAAGATATGTCAGGGCCAGGACATCTATGGATATGGTGTGAGTGATATTCCAGTGGAGTAACTCCCTTCCCTACTGTGGTCTTTCTTCTTATACGGCAAGAATGAGGGCCGGGTGTAGTGACTCACGCCTGTAATCCCAGCACTTTGGGAGGCCAAGGTGGGCAGATCACAAGGTCAAGACGATCAAGACCAGCCTGGCCAACATGGTGAAACCCCATCTCTACTAAAAATACAAAAATTAGCTGGGTGTGGTGGTGGCCACCTGTAGTCCCAGCTACTCAGGAGGCTGAGGCGGGAGAATCGCTTGAACCCGGGAGGCGGAGGTTGCAGTGAGCCGAGATCACGCCACTGCACTCCAGCCTGGCGACAGAGCGAGTCTCCATTCCCCCCACCCCCTCCCCATAAAAAGCAAGAATGAGAAAGTGCCCTTGTCAACGAAGGATCGCATGGACTGGTACCAAGTGGTTCGGATCTGGGAAGTCAGCTGTAAAATGGAGTTGTCTAGGAATATCAAGAGCCTTACGGCTGGGGCAGTTGGGGACCTTCTAGTCCCTGGGCTGTTGCATTTCCCCACTGGCCAAGTATCCCAGGCCAATAGGCACTGGAGCTTGGGTGCTGTCCTTTCACTGGAATGGGCCTACTGTGTGTCCAGCAGCTGTCTTGGCTATGGCAGATTGGTCCTTGATTTGATGAGAGGCTGAAGACCACATGTGACTTTGTCTTGCTATCCTGGTCTTGTAGAACTCACCTTTTCACAATGAAGACTTTTTCTCAACCGATGTTGTACAATGTGAAATGTGTCCACCCTCTTGCAGGACAAATGGCAGACCTGAAGAGACCCATCTGGCACCACAGCCAATTTTCTTCTTTTTTTTGAGACGGAGTCTTGCTCTGTCGCCCAGGCTGGAGTGCAGTGGCGCGATCTCGGCTCACTGCAAGCTCCACCTCCCGGGTTCACGCCATTCTCCTGCCTCAGCGTCCCGAGTAGTTGGGACTACAGGTGCCCGCCACCACGCCCGGCTAATTTTTTTTGTATTTTTAGTAGAGACAGGGTTTCACCCTATTAGCCGGGATGGTCTTGATCTCCTGACCTTGTGATCCGCCCTTCTCGGCCTCCCAAAGTGCTGGGATTACAGACTTGAGCCACCGCGCCCGGCCACCACAACCAATTTTCAACATGCTGCTGGGTGTGAGATAATCAGAAAAGCATGGAGCATAGGTAGACATTTAATGGTCTTTTGAGTCCAACCTCTACATTTTACTGATAATTAATTTGGAGAATCCATTGTCCTTCCAAGATTGATTACCCATTTCTCATTTTGAGGAACGTTTAACAGCAAGAAGATTGGATCAGGTTTCTGAGTGAGCCCCAAGAACTTTGTCTCTGAGAGCTTTCAAGGTTTGAGTGACTCCTTTGCATTTTGAGTACATATTCCAAGGGCATTTTCCTTTGGCTGTTTGTGATCAGAGATTATTGTGGTCATGATGTGCCTGCACATTATTGCTGCAATAGCAAACCACTCATCTTATTTGCTGGTGTCTCTGTGGGTCAGTCTTTGGGTTGGACTCAGCTGGGCAGTTCTTCTGACGCTCTCACCTGGGGTCATAGTGGTAGGGAGAGTAACAATCCTCCTGAAGATGTCAATTCCCTAATCCTTGGTTTTAGACCTGCGCAAGCTACATTACCTAGTAAAGGGGACTTTGCAAATGCAATTAAATTTATGGACTTTTGGGTTAGGAAATTATCCTGGACTGTCTGGACAGGTCTAACGTAGTTACATGGGCCCTTAAAAGTAGAAAAGAAACTTTGGGAGGCTGAGATGGGCAGATCGCTTGAGCCCAAGAGTTCAGGACCAGCCTGGGCACCATGGCAAAATCCTGACTCTAGGGGAGGTTCAAAGCATGAAAGGGACTTGCCTACCATTGTTGGCTTTGAATTAGAGGAAGGGGGCCATAAGCCAAGGGACAGCCTCTAGAAGCAGGGAACAGCCCTCACTCACAGCCAGCAAGGGGACCTCAGTTCTACAGCCGAAAGGGACTGAATTCTGCCAATAGCCTGAATGAGTAAAGAAACAGCTTCTCCTCATAGAGCCTCCAGAAAGGAGCGCTGGTATCTCACTGTGGTTTCAATTTGCATTTCCCTGGTGATTAGTGATGTTGAGCGTCTTTTCATGTGCTTGTTGGCCATTCGTATGTCTTCTTTGGAGAAATGTTTATTTGCCCATGTTTACTGGGGTTGTTTGTTTTGTTGTAGGAATCCTTCATATGGCTTGCATATCAACCCTTTATTATATATATAATTTCAAATATTTTCTCCCATTCTGTAGGCTACCTCTTCAGTCTTTTGATAGTGTCTTTTGAGGCACAGAAATTTCAAATTTTGGTGTAACCTAATTTATCTATTTTTACTTTTGTTGCCTGTACTTTTGGCATGATATCTAAGAAATTATTGTGAAATCCAATGTTATGAAGCTTTCTCCCTAAATTTTCTTCCAAGAGTTTTATAGTTGGGAGAGTTTTAAGCAGTGAAGTGCTATATGGGAGGCTGGACAGGGCAGGGATGTGGGAAGCTGATTGTGTTGAAAGTCCCAGTCTTCATCCCTCCCCTCATCTACATGCTTTGCTGTCACATTGCAGCTCCACCCAACAAGAGGCAACATGCACTTTCCTACCACTTGACTTTATTTCAGCCATGTACTTGGTAAAGACTTTCTACTCTGACTCTGGGCTTGACCATATGACTTGCTTTGGCCCATATAATGAGACAGAAGTGATGGCACAGCAGTTCCAAGCCAAGGCTTCAAGGAGCCTTGCAGGTTTCCACTTGCTATCTTGTGCTTCTGCCATCGTCCCGAGAACCTGCCCAGGCGAGCCCGCTGGAGGATGAGAAACACACAGAGCAGAGCTGAATAGCCTCAGTCAACTCAACCAGCTGATCCCCAGACATGGGCGTGAGCCATCAGCTGGTCCCCAGTTAACCCCAGAGGCATTAGTATTGCAGGCCACTGAGGTTTTGTGGCTGTTTCTTATGAAATGTACTCCATAATATCCAATAAGGATATTCAGTAAGGATGATATGGCATTGGATAACTGATACAGCGAGCAGATTGGAAGCAGAGAGATGTGTTGGGAGGATATTACAATAATTCAGGTGAGAGATGATAGCTGTGAAGGTGATGACAAGAGGTTGGATTCTGGATGTATCTTGAAGGTGGTGCTGATGGATTTGCTCTCACATTGGAAATAGGGTATGGGGAAGAGAGACCAGCTGAGGATCACTCCATGGGTTTTGAGCATCTGGAAGGATGAAATTGCCACTAGCTGTGGTAGGATGACTGCAGGAGGAGCAGGTTTGGGGAGGCTATCAGGGACTCAGTTTTGAATATTCACACATTCAGGGATTTTGGGAGAGTTGACACATATCCCTGGACTTTGGGAGTGCTCATAAAGCCAGAGGCTGGCAGTGCTTCTTGAATGAAAAACTGTGAAAAGGGGAGGCCTGATGAAGCAGCCTGTTGTGGATAAGCATGCCCCACAAGGAAAGGATGAGGGCTTTCCCTTTGCCTGAGGGCAGGAAGAGTGCATCAAGGGTCCCACGCCTCCTTATGAAGGAGCATAAAGTGGAGTGGTGGGTGGATACCTAGGGCTGCCCAGGTGGTGTCCAGCAAAGAGAAGCTTCCCCCGGAGAAAGGCTAGAGTACAGAGGCTGGTAGAGGCTGAGGGGAGACCTGACTGCCTTTGCCTGAGGGATGACCTCAGGAGTAGAAAGGGCTCACATGAAGTCATGTGGCATTCCGAAAGAATGGCACTCACCATCTCAGCGGAGCCCACCGCCTCTATGGGGGCCTCCAGCTGCAGAGCCCAGCCTGAGAGAATCCTCCTAGGAGGGCAGTCAAGGAGGAGGTCAGAGCCTCTTCTCCTCATGAATGCCAACGGTGGAGAACTAGGCTGGAAAGGGCACCTGGGCGAGGTGGGGAACAGGGAGAATCCTGGAACATAGATTTCCAGCTCTCGGAGAGGAAGAGTCTAACTTTTTTTTTTGAGACAGAGTCTCGCCCTGTCACCCAGGCTGGAGGGCAGGGGTTGCAGTTAGCCAAGATCACACCACTGCACTCTAGCCTGAGTGACAGAGTGAGACTCGGTCTCAATAAACAAAAAAACAAGAAGAAGTTGGTGTGAATTTGAGAGCTGTATTGTTAAGGCTCCAGTAGCATCTATTGTAGATATCACTGAGGGATGGGAAGGGGGATTCAAAGAGCATGGTAGAAAATGCAATTAGAGAAAATAGAATTTTCTTTTTTTCCACACGCACTAGATTGAATGAAAATAGTTTTCAAAACCCCTCTGCCTTGCACTCCCTAATGAACGGATGATACACATGAATTAAACTGTGGGTGGCTTAATAGCTGGAGAGAGGCCACAAGTATAGGCAGAAATGAACACACATGTGTTGCAACAGAAGCACTCAAGACGCAACAGTGAAATTCACTAGCAGAAAATCGAGGTGAGAAGAAATCGAAAATTGTTCTTTTAAACCTACCGCTTTTGCTGACTGTCATTAAAAATGTGAAAACAGGTGGTAATGGAACCATAAGTGATTAGTTTTCTTTCCTTCTGCATGATTATAATGATGTTTGAGAGTGAAACAATGCTCCTAAAATTTATTACTTTTTTGTCCACTAAAAAAAATGCCCCCATCTTTAACTTTAGTGGCACAAATCATCTATTTTTCTAACAACCTCAGAAACTCAGTATGATGTCCCCTTTGAAAATAATGGAAAGTTGCCGGGCGCGGTGGCTCATGCCTGTAATCCCAGCACTTTGGGAGGCCGAGGCGGGTGGATCACGAGGTCAGGAGATCGAGACCATCCTGGCTAACACAGTGAAACCCCGTCTCTACTAAAAATACAAAAAAATTAGCCAGGCGTGGTGGCAGGCACCTGTAGTCCCAGCTGCTTGGGAGGCTGAGGCAGGAGAATGGCATGAACCCAGAAGGTGGAGCTTGCAGTGAGCCGAGATCGCGCCACCGCACTCCAGCCTGGGCAACCGAGCGAGACTCCATCTCAAAAAAAAAAAAAAAAAGAAAAAGAAAATAATGGAAAGTTTGTGCTCAGCTCCTTCAGTGTCTGCAGCAAGACAGCAAATGAGACCCATGAGAATCTGGGGCTCAGGCAAAAGTTCCAGAAGAAGTTTAAATGCTGAGGTGGGGCCTGTGAAGGAGGGAGGGAGCGCTGGAGACCAGGGGCCTTGGCGATCTGTTTACAACACAAGGGTGACCAGAGCTGTCTGTCTGTAGAGGGCCCTGATGGGAGCAGAGGCATCCAGACAAACAGGGCTCATGCTCTTCTGGGAATCCCTGCCTCACCATGAAACAGAAGAGAGAGATTCCACCAACTGCTTGGATATGTCCCCTTTACATTTCTCCAGCCCAGATGGTGGTGGTGGTGGTGGTGTTGTTTTGAGAAAAAGTCTTGCTCTGTCACCCAGGCTGGAGTGCAGTGGTGCGATCTCAGCTCACTGCAACCTCCACCTCCTGGGTCCAAGAGATTCTCCCCCCTCAGCCTCCTGAGTAGCTGGAATTACAAGCGTATACCACCATGCCTGGCTAATTTTCGTATTTTAGAGACGGGGTTTCGCCATGTGGGCCAGGCTGGTCTCAAACTCCTGACCTCAGGTGATCTGCCTGCCTTGGCCTCTCAAAGTGCTGGGATTACAGGCGTGAGCCACCATGCCCTGCTCCAGATTGGTAAGAACCCAGTGCTTTCCTTGGTGTATAACAATTACCCCACACTCTTGAGTGTCTTAAAATAGTCAGCAGACGTTAAAAGTTGCATCAGAATCTTTTTTTTTTCTTTTGAGACGGAGTCTTGCTGTGTCACCCAGGCTGGAGTGCAGTGGCACAATCTCGGCTCACTGCAAGCTCTGCCTCCCGGGTTCACACCATTCTCCTGCCTCAACCTCCCGAGTAGCTAGGACTACAGGCACCTGCCACCACGCCCGTCTAATTTTTTGTATTTTTAGTAGAGATGGGGTTTCACCGTGTTAGCCAGGATGGTCTCGATCCCCTGACCTTGTGATCCACCCACCTCGGCCTCCCAAAGTGCTGGGATTACAAGGCGTGAGCCACCGCGCCCGGCCTGCATCAGAATCCTTTTTTTAAAAAAAGTTACCTTGGACCAGGCAGGGTGGCTCACTCCTGTAATCCCAGCACTTTGGGAGGCCAAGGCAGGTGGATTATCTGAGGTTAGGAGTTCGAGACCCGCCTGACCAACATGGTGAAACTCTGTCTCTACTAAAAATACAAAATTAGCCAGACATGGTGGTGCACACCTGTAATCCCAGCTACTGGGGAGGCTGAGGCAGAAGAATCGCTTGAACCCAGGAAGTGGAGGTTGCGGTGAGCCGAGATTGTGCCATTGCACTCCAGCCTGGGCAACAAGAGCAAAACTCCGTCTCAAATAAATAAATAAATAAAAAATAAATATAAAAAAGTGATCTTATATTAGTCTGTTCTCATGCTGCTATAAAGAACTTCCCTAGACTGGGTAATTTATAAGGGAAAGAGGTGTAACTGACCCACGGTTCCACATGACTGGGGAGGCCTC